>NC_000005.10:18186608-18489638 GCF_000001405.40 Homo sapiens
AACATTTAAAATTTACTCTTTTAGTATTTTGAAATATAAAGTCCATTATTATTGACAATAGTCACCTTGCTGTGCAATAGATCTCAAATTGCATTCCTTGTGTCTATCTGAAACTTTGTACCCTTTGATCAACAACTCCCCATTTCCTCCCTCTCCACTCTCCAGCCTCTAGTAGCCATAATCCTACTTTCTACTTCTATGAGTGCAACTTTTGTAGATTCCACTAAAAATGAGATTATGTGGTATTTGCCTTTCTGTGCCTGGCATATTTCACTAGTTCTTATTTACATAATATCCTCTAGTTCCATCTATGTTGTTGCAAATGACAGGATTTCTTTCTTTTTTGAGATTGAATAGTATTCCTTTGCATATATATATATACCAGTTTTTAAATCTATTCAGTCATCGATAGACACAGGTTGAATCCATACCTGACTTCTGTGCTCCCAAAAAATGGGAGCACAAAAAGCATTTTGATGTATTGATTTCAATTCCTTTGGTTATATATCCAAAAGTGGGATTCCTAGATCACACTGTAGTTCTATTTTTAGCTTTCTGACGGTCCTCCATATAATTTTCTTTATGGCAGTACTCCCATTTACATCCCCACCAATGACATACAAGTGTTCCCTTTTTCCTCACCAACACTTGCTCTTTTATTTTATGGTAAAAGACATTGCAACAGGTATAAAATAGTATCTCATTGTGGATTTAATTTGCATTTCCCTGGTAATTAGTGATTTGAGCTTTTTTTTTCATTTTTATGTATCTGTTGGTCATTTGTGTATCTTCTTTTGAAAAATGTCTGTTCAGGTACTTTGCCCATGTCTTCATCTGACAAATTTGTTCCTTTTGCTCAAAATGGACTTGGCTATTGACTTTTTTTGTGTGGTTTTCTAATAAATTTAAGGTTTTTTTTTGTTTCTCTGATAAATAACATTGGAATTTTGATAGGGGTTGCATTGAATCTGTAGTTCACTTTGAGTAGTACAGAAATTTTCACAATATTAATTCTTCCAAACCATAAGCATAAAATATCTTTCAACTTATTTGTGTGTTTTTTCTAATTTTTTTCATTAATGTTTTATGATTTTAAATATACAAATTATTTACCTCCTTGGTTAAATTTATTTTTACATATTACATTGTTGATGTTGCTTTGGTAAATAGGATTTAATTTCTTTTTTGGATAGTTTGTTTTAATAAATACAACTACTAATTTATGTATGTTGATTTTATATCCTTCAACTTAACTGAATTTATCAGTTCTGTTTTTTGTTAAAGTCTTTATAGGTTTCTATATGTAAAATCATGTCAGTAGCAAATAGAGATGATTTCATTCCTCCTTTTCTTAGTAGAATGACTTTCATTTCTTTTTCTTGCCTAATTGCTCTGGCTAGGACTTCCAGTACTGTGTTAAAAAGACACGGTGAGAATAGGTGTCCTCACCTTGGCGTTTATTTTAGGAGAAAAGCTTTCAACTTTTTTATTGTTGAGAATGATGTTAACTATGTGTTTGTCATATGCAGATTCTGTTGTGTTAAGGTACATTTCCTCTATACCTAATCTGTTAAGAGTAGTTATATTTATTATGTGGTCTATCACATTTACTGATTTGCATATGTTGAATCATCCTTACATCCCAAGGACAAATCCACTTGATCGTGGTGAATTGAATGATTTTTTACTGCATTGTTGAATTTGGTTACTAATATTTTGTTGAGGATTTTAGTATCTGTGTTCATCAGCGATGTTGCCTTGTAATTTTCTTGTATTCTTGTCTAGCTCTGGTATGAAGGTAATGCTGGCCTCCTAAAACGTGTTTGGAAGTGTTCTCTTCACTTTAATTTTTTGGAAGTATTGAGAAGAAATGGTATTAGTACTTCTTTAAATGTTTGGCAGAATTCAGCAGTGAAGTCTTCAGCTACTGGGCTTTTTTTTTTTTTTTTAAGGAGACTTCTTTTACTGATTCAATTTCCTTAATCATATTCAGTTCAGATTTCTGTTTTTTTTTTTTCCTGATTCAGTCTTGGTGGGTTGTATATGCCTAGAAATTTATTCATATATTCTACATCATCCAATTTGTTGGCATGTAATTTTTCAAAGCAGTTTCTTATAATCCTTTGTATTTCTGTGGTATCAATTGTAATATCTTCTCTTTCCTTTCTAATTATGTTATTTTGAGCCTTCTCTCTTTTTTCCCTAGTCTGGCTAAAGGTTTGTCAATTTTGCTTGTCTTTTAAAAAAACCAGCTCTTAATTTTATTGATTTTTGTTTGTTTTTCTAGTCTATTTCATTTGTTGATGCTCTGATCTTCGTTATTTTCTTTCTTCTGCTAACTTTGGGCTTAGCTTGTTCTTGTTTGTCTAGTTCCTTGAGCTATAACATCAGATTGAGATTTTTCTCTTTTTAAAGAAAATATAGCATTTATCACCATACATTTTCCTCTTATGACTGCTTCTATTACATCTCATAAGTTTTGGTAGATGTGTTTCCATTTTCCCTTGTCTCAAGGCATTTTTATTTTTTAAAAAATTTCTTCGGAGCCCATTTTCTAGGACTGTGTTGTTTAATTTCTATATATTTGTGTATTTGCCAAGATTTCTCTGGTTATTGATTTTTAGTCTCATGCCATTGTGAGTCAAAATGTTACCTGATGTAACTTCAGTCTTTAAGTTTGTTAAGATTTGTTGTGTAGCCTAACTTATGATCTATTCTGGATAATGTTCTGTTCATACTTGAGAAGAATGTGCTGCTATTGGATGGAATGTTTTGTAAATGTCTGTTGGGTTCATTTGGTCTAGAATGTAATTCAGGTCCAATATTTCTCTATTAATTATCTATCTAGATGGTCTGTCTATTGTTCAAAGTGGAGTGCTGAGGTCCTCTACTATTGGAGGGTTATAGTCTATATATCTTCTCAGATTATTTAATAATTGCTTCATGTATATAGGTATTTTAATTTTGTTGTACATATATATTTATAATTATGTCCTCTTGAGAACTAATCCCTTTATCATTATATAATAAACTTCTTTGCCTCTTTTATATAATTTTCGACTTAAAATCCATTTTGTCTGATACAAGTATAGCTACTCCTGCTCTATTTTGGTGTCCATTCGCGTGAAATACCTTTTCAGTCCTTTCACATTCAGTCTTTAGGAAGAATATCGTTGAATCATATTCTTTTGTTGTAGTTGCTGTTGTTGTTTTGCATCCATTCAGCCAGTCTATGTCTTTTTATTGAGTCATTTCATCCATTTATAGTAAAGGTAGTTACTAATAAATAAAGATTTGATACTGCCATTTTATGATCTGTGTTCTGATTGTTTTGTAAGTCTTGTTTTTTTGTTTCTCTCTTGCTGTCTTCCTTTTTTTTTTTCTCTTTGAGACAGAGTTTCACTCTTGTTGCGCAGGCTGGAGTGCAATGGCACCATCTCGGCTCACTGAAACCTCTGTCCCCAGGGTTCAAGCGATTCTCCTGCCTCAGCCTCCCAAGTAGCTGGGATTACAGGCGCCTGCCACCATGCCCGGCTAATTTTTTGTATTTTTAGTAGAGATGGGGTTTCACCATGTTGGCCAGGCTGGTCTCGAACTCCAGACCTCAGGTGATCCACCCACTTTGGCCTCCCAAAGTGCTGGGATTACAGGCGTGAGCCACTGTGCCTGGCCCTCTCTTGCTGTCTTCCTTTATGATTTGGTGGTTTTCTGTGGTGATAAGCTTTTAATCCTTTCTTTTTCACTTTGTGGTAACTACTATTGGTTTTTAATATTTGGTTATCATGAGGCTTCCATAAAACATCTTGTTCTTATAACAGGCTATTTAAGTTGATAACAATTTTCATCACATACAAAAACTACACTTTCACTTTCTCCCACCTTTTAAAATTTTGGTGTCAATGTTTACGTTTGCATAACTTATATCCCTTAACAGTTGATTGTAGATACAGTTGTTTTGGCTTTAATAGTTTTGTTTTAATAGTTTTGATTTTTAGCCCTCTGTCTCAGTCCATTTTGTGTTGCTATAAAGGAATACCTGAGGCTAGGAAATTTCTAAAGAAAAAGGGTTTATTCGTATCATGGTTTTGCAGGCTGTACAAAAGCATTGCACCAGAATCTGCTTTGAGGAGGGCTTCACAAAGACTCCACTTGTGGCAGAAGGCAAGAGGGAGCAGCCATTATATGGAGAGAAGAAGGAGGAAACAGAGGGGAGGAAGGTACCAGGCTCTTTTCAATAATCAGATCTCTTGGAAACTAATAGAGTGAGATCTCATTTATTACCACAAGGACAGCACCAACCCTTTAATGAGAAATCCACGCCCCATGACCCAAATACCTCCCACCCAGCCCCATCTCCAACACTGGGGATCAAATTTCAACATGAAATTTGGAGATAACAAATATCCAAGTAATATAACCCTTATAGTGGGAATAATATTGCTTTACACACTATATTTACAGTGTGAGAATTCTGAATATGACTAAACATTACTTGTACCATTGAATTTTTTCCTTTTTCTTCAGAATTAGTTACAGGATTTTCTTTCAGCTTAAATAATTTCCATTAGAAATTTCTATAAAGTAGCTCTAGGGATAATTACCCTTAGTTTTTTTGGGGGGTGGGTGGGGAAAGTATTTATTTATACCTCATTTCTGAATTATAGCTTTGCTGGTAAAATAGTCTTTGTTGACAGTCTTTCCTTCAGCACTTTGAATATATCATCCCATATCTCCTGGACTGCAGGGTTTCTGCTAAGAAATTCACTGAATGTCATACTGGGTCTTCATTGAATGGAATATATTTATTTTCTCTTGCTGCTTTTGTGTTCTTTCTTCGTCTTTGATTTTTCATAATATGATTATGTGTCTTGGTGAGCTCCTTTTTGGGCTGAATTTATCTGACATCCTTTGAACTTCCTTGACCTGGATGTTGTTGTCTTATCTCCAATCTGCAAAATTTTCAGCCATTATTTTATTAAATACATTTTCTTGGCCTTTTAATTTATCTTTTCTTTTGAAACTCCTGTTATGTCAAAGTTGTTTTGCTTGATGGTGTCCCATAATTTGCATAGACCTTTATTTTTTTCCTTTCTATTTATTTATTTTTTGCTCCTCTAATTGAATAATTTCTAATGTAATATGTTTGAGTTTATTTATTTTCTTTTGCATGATCAACTCTGCCTTTGAAGTTTACTATTGAATTTTCTAGTTCAGTTATTGTATTCTTTATCTCTAGGATCTCTAATTGTGTTTTTTAATTGTTTTTATTTCTTTGTAAAAATTATTTTAGTCCTAAATTGTAATCAAAAATTTATTTAATTTTGTATCTGTATTTTTATTTGAGTTCTCTGAACTTCTTTGAGTATTATTCTGAATTATTTGTCCATCATTTCATAGATCTCCATTTCTTCTGTCTATTATTGGAGCTTTATTAGTATCTTTTGGTGTGTCATATTTTCGTAATTCTTCTTAAGCCTTGTGTCTTTGCATTGATGCCGTCACATTTGAGGAAATGGCCATTATTTCTGGCCTTTGCAGGTATTCTTTGGTGGTGATATATCTGTACTATTTAGTTTATCCTGATGTTATGGATGAGCCTACTGGAAGCAACTGTACACAGGTAGACCTTGGTGCCAGGTTGTCTAGTTGGGATTGGTTGCTTCCTGTCTGATGTTAAATGGTACTGCATACTGTGTTCCTTTGTTCCAGTGAGACCACTCACTGGACTCTGTCATCAGATAATTCTGTTGGCTGGACTCTGTAACTTATTCTAATTGGACAGGGTTGTAGGTTATCTTTTCTGGTAGGACAGTACCGTTGCTTGGCATGTGTAGCTGGGCAGGGCCACTTGATGGGCTCTCAGACTTGGTGAGGTTTCTGGAATTGCTATGTGACCTCACAGAGTGAGCAGGACCAGAGGCTTTACTCCAGATATGTGTGGACTTGGGCTTGCATCCCAGCCTAGGGTAGGCTTAAGCAGAGCACCAAGACTTCGCCGACTAGCCACTGGGGGTGGGTGGAACCATATGCTCCCTCTGAAGGGAATCATTGACTTGCAGTTGCCACTAGGATGGGGGAAGACCTTTAAGCATGGCTTTTCTCATTATATGGTCAAAAAGGGTGTCAGCCTCACTCTCAAGTTCTGGGATATTCACAAAGGTATTCTTGCTTATCGATAATTTCTAGATGGGATTTGGTGGGAAAGAGTAGAGCTAGAAAAATTCTATTTTGACATTCTTGCTGACATCACCCCTCAACCTATTTATGTAAACACATTGTGCTTTGCCATCTCCTGTTCTCTTAAATAATGTGTGTGTGCTATAAATGTATAGCTTATATTTGTGAAATTACAGTAAAGCATAAAGTTTAAAACAACCTAAAGGCATGTCATATAAAGAAGTGATTTTAATTCCCATAGACCAATTATCATTTTTTTTATAAATAGGGATCACTCAAATTTTTATCAAAGTTTTTAAGAAAATTACACTATTAGTGTATTTATGTCATTTAATATTGCAACAGTCATGCAGAACTATTGGACGAAAGTCATCAACAATTACAGGTTATCCATTAGGCTCTCTCTGGGACATGGCTCTAAATCATGCCTTCAATAACTCTTAGTAATGAAGCATGAATCTTCTAATAGCTAAATATAAGGCTTTAGTCATTTTTGTGTTATTTTTCTCACCTAATTTTATGAGCAACCACATTTGTCCTTTTCTATTTTGATTTTGCTTTCTTTGTTTTGTTCAATATTATTTTCTTCTTTCTATCTCTACATTTAATGCTGCATTTGTAGGATTCCTCATATAAGCTAGGATTACTGAAATAATGTCCAACTGTTGACTTCATATCTGTCAATACTTTAGCTACTTTTATGTATTATGGTGTTACCAGATCAATCTTTCTTAAGCACAGTGCTAATCGTGTTCATTGCCTAATTCATTAGTTATATATTTCACAATCTTAATTTTTCAAGATTTTAAATGAACCGGTACAACACACCTTCCCCACATTATAGCTGGCTACACGTTTTTAAATTTTTTATTTTTTAAAAATTTTTGAACTTTTAAGTTCAGGGGTACATGTGCAAAATGTGCAGGTTTGTTACATAGGTAAACATGTGCCATGGTGGTTTGCTGCACAGATCATCCCATCACCTAGGTTTCAAGCCCAACATCCATTAGCTATTCTTCCTGATGCTCTTCTGCCTTTCATCCCCCACCCTCCAACAGGCCCCAATGTGCGTTGCTCCTCCCATGCGGCCATGCATTCTCATTATTCAGCTCTTTTAAAATATTGATGTAATCTATACAAGTTGAAGTCAATGTATTTCACTAACGGTGTCTCAAATTTTCCAGCCTCTAAATTTTTGCTAATATACATATTTTTTTTTTGTTAAATGCCTTTCCTCTCATACATGTTTACCTATAAAAATCCTATTCATTGTTCAAAAAGTATTTCTACCACGACTTACCTCATCATATACACTTTGTTCTTTGCAATGCAATTTGAATTCAGCCTTGTATTCAGTTCTCTATATGCTTTTCAATGGCCCTAAAAGTGAATATTCCCCCTTAAGTTTATGTATTTATTTATTTAGAGATGGAGTCTCACTCTGTCACCCAGGCTGGAGTACAGTGGCATGATCTCGGCTCGCTGCAACCTCTGCCTCCCAGGTTCAAAAGATTCTCCTGCTTCAGCCTCCCAAGTAGCTGGGACTACAGGCATGCACCACCACGCCTGGCTAATTTTTGCATTTTTAGTAGAGACGGGGTTTCACCATGTTGATCAGGCTAGTCTCGAACACCTGACCTCATGATCTGCCCGCCTTGCCTCCCAAAGTGCTGGGATTACAGGCCTGAGCCACTGCTCCTGGCTGTATTCCCCTTAAGCTTTTAATAGGAAGTTGGTTATGCTTATGTTTATCTTTCAGTGGAACTAGCACACGGCTAAGGACCTTAAACTTTCTAAACAATCATTTGTTTGGATGTAATTTACATAACTTACAATTTTAAACTCAAAACTTTTCATGCTTTCAAAGACAAGGCTTTGAAAAATGGAAAATATGCATTACATTTATTTTGTAACACTATCTTTATCCTATTAGAGCACAGAAACACATTACTAGAAGCATAACAAAAAACAACAGGAAATTAATTATGGAATAGTCTTATCTTCTAAAAGTAGCTGCTACAGAAAAAAAAAAAAACCTTCTGCAGGAAATGGTCATAATTTGGAACACTAAAATTCTATCCACTGAATGGAAGTAACCTTATCTTATACCATTCTGAACATATTATTGCCAATTTCCTTGCATGTTTTTAAATGTAACCACTAGAAGACTTAGAATACACCTGTAATTTATGATAGGATAATGTTTATGCTAACCTCTGTTTCCATAGTAGTATTGCTATATTCTTGAGATAAAGATAAACCTTATGTTTATAAGGTTAGAGACATTTAGTCTGTTATCTTAAATTATTATACATATTTTCCTCATTTATTTATATGTTTCAATTGCGTTAAAATGTTTAGAGATTATATTATTTACAAACATACATGGCCCTAATAAATGCTGAGATGTTTATAATTAAGGTTAGACCATAAAAAATGTAGACTATTGTTGGCAACAAAGTCATGGAGTGAAGGAACTATGGCTAGCAACAAATATCTAAGTGTGATAGTTTATTATATTTTCATTGTTGCTTTTTTCATGTGAACACATTTAGAAAACAATATCATCTCCATTATCTCTAAGTATTCCTTTCCAACATTCATAGGTTCTGTTACATCTATTTTAATATTTTTTGCTACATATGAATATTTACAGTATTCTTCATTCTGTACAATATTTTTCTTCCTTCCATTAATTTATATATACTCAACATATATATACATACACACATATATTTTTTCTTCAGAACTTCCCACACAATCTTGCTATTAGCCAAGAAACTCACTTTCAAACAAAATAATAAGAAAAAGTCTGATACCCATGCAACTCTTCATTGATCTTATAATGTAATTCATTAAATGAAAGTAGTTCGTGATATATAGAAAAGTGGGATGGCCCAAGAAGATTCAAGTGCAGAGCTATCTGGACAATTCAACTATATGAAACTGGGAGGCTACCCTATAGAGTGCTGTGTATGCTTAAAGTCAATGAACAATATTTCTCTTTTATTACATATACTTTCCCACTTGAAAAAGATTTCTTAATCTCCGGGAATCTTAATTAGAGATTCCATGTCCAAAGGAAAAAAAATATTTCTACTTGGTGAAAAACAGTGCTTTTATTTAAGTAAGAGTTAACATTGCAACTGGAACAATTTAAGCTTCTGATTCACCTAGACAACATATTTTTTAAAGTGGCCTACGATGAGTATTTGGGTAAACAATTCTGCCTCTCAGAGGAAAATAAGGTTGCTGCTACAAAATGGAGTTTGTGCAAACATGTGCTGGCAAGTCTTGTGAATGATTAGAATCCTCAGAAATTAGTGGGAATCAAAAAGAAATTTTAAAAACCACAGAAAGTAGCAAAAGGCAAGAGCTGTGTTTTTTACAAGAGGTGAAAGACTCATGGGATGAATCATGTAGGAACAAAGGTTTAGATACCATTGATAGCTCTGGGACCAGTTGCACATTTCATGTACATGTAAATAGCCTTATGATTTCGCTCAGAAATAACAAAGCACAGAGACCAAATTTGATGAGTTCCAGGGAAAAACAATTCAGTAAATCAAGATTTTAGATTTGGAAGTATAAAGAGTAATTGATGATATTTGAGTTGTCTTTTTCAAGTGAAGCTGTGTGCTTTTGGTTACATAATGGGTAGTCATGCTATGATAGAAAAAATATTTCTTTGAGAAGGAGAAATATGAAAAGGGGTATATGCATGAAGGAGAGTCAAAAGCTATCCTTCAAGTTGATCTTTGAGGAAATTTTAATCAGAATATATCCTGTGCCCAATTTCTATACTTGAGTATCATAACATTGTGTGAATTTTCATCAGCATAGGGCATTATTTCTTTTACAAGTGGTCAATTACTTTTTTTAGAAAAACAAAAGTTTACAATTTATGTCATAGGCAGAATATCACGAATTTAACAAATTAGTAATACAGACTTTCAAATACCTTTATAAATTAGTGCAAAGTAGAAAATTATTTTTTGTCCACTCTTGGACTCAAGACACATTCAGAAAAAATACACATTTATAAAAATAAAATGGCAAGGCTAATCCCACCAATTAATTGACAGTGTTATTATCTCACACTGGTTTATTTGAACACTTAATCCATAATAAGAATAGCTGAATGTATTTTTTCCTGTTCTACCTCCATGTTATATGAAGCAATTATTAAACTATTTAAGTTACTTTTTGCAAAACCAAAATAAAAAAGGTCCCAAAGCAAAACACACAAAAAAATTACTAACAAAATCCACAAAACAAAAACAATACAGCTAATTTAACTACTCATATAGGCCCTTCCTTCAATTCCTTGACATTTGGCATGTTAATATTATTTCTAAACCAGATACCAGGAAGCAACTATGTATGAGGAAGAAAACGAATATTTTAGGTATAATACATATTAAACATGTTTCAGATAATAGTAGCTAGAAAATTGATGTTGAAAAGTGGGGCATTGCTATAAAGATACCTGAAAATGTGGAAGCAGCTATGGAACTGGGTAATGGGTAGAGGTTGGAAGAGTTTAGAGGGCTCTGAAGAAGGAAGATGAGGAAAAGTTTGGAAGTTCTTAGAGACTGGTTAAATGATTGTGGCCAAAATGCTGAAAGAAATATGGGCAATGAACTCCAGTGTGATGAAGTCTCAGATGGAAATGAAAAAGTAACTGAGAACTGGAGTAAAGATCAGCCTTTTTACACCTTAGCAAAAACTTGGCTGCACTGTGTTCATGCCCTAGAGATTTGCAGAAGGTTGAACCTAAGAGTAATACCCTCAGGCATCTGGCAGAATAAATTTCTGAGCAGCAAAGCATTCAAGATGTGATGTTGCTGTTTCTAACAACCTATTATCAGATGTGGGAGCAAAGGAATGACTTAAAGTTGGAACTTACAATTAAAGGGAAGCAAAGCACAAAAATTTGGAACATTTACCACTTAGCCATGTGGTATAGAAGGAAAAAGCGTTTTCAGTAGATGAATTCAAGCAGGCTGTAGAGCAAACACTTGCTAGGGAAATTAGCATGAATAACAGGAATCCAAGTGCTAATAGCCAAGACAATGAGAAAAAGGCCTCAAAGGCATTTCAAAGTCTTTGAGGCAGCCCCTTCCATCACAGGCCCAGAGGCTTAGGAGGAAATAATGTTTTTCAGGGGCCAGGCCCAAGGCCCTGTTGTCTTTACAGCCTTGAGACACTGCTCCCCATATGTCTGCATCTCTAACTCCAGCCATGGCTCAAAGCTCCCCAACTATAGTTTGGCATGATGCTACAGAGGGCACAAACCATAAGCCTTTGTGGCTTCTACGTGGTGTAGTGTTAAGTCTGCAGGTGTGCAGAATGCAAGAGTGATGGAGGCTTAGCAGCCTACTCCTTGATTTCAGATGTACGGGAAAGTCTAAGTGCCCAGGCAAAAGCCTGCCACAGGTGCAGAGCCCCTACAGAGAGACGCAAAGAGGGCAGTGCCAATGATAAAGAGGGGATCGGAGCCCCCACACAGAGTTTCCACCAGGGCATTGACTAGTGGAGTTGTGGGAATCATGCTGCCACCCTCCTCCAGACCTAAGAATGGTAGAGCCACCAGCTGGTTGCACCTTGAACCTAGAAAAGCCACAGCCACTCAACTCTAACCTGTGAGAGCAGCCACAGGGACGGAGGTGCACCCTGCAAAGCCACCCTGCAAAGCCACAGGGACAGAGGTGCACAAGGCCTTGGGAGCCCACCCCTTGCACCAATGTGCCCTGGATGTTGGACATGGAGTCAAGGATTATTTTGGAGCTTGAAGGTTTAATGTCTGTCATGCAGTGTTTTGGACTTATGTGGGGCCTATTCTCCCTTTTTATATGCTGATTTCTCCCTTTTGAAATGGGAATGTTTATCCAATATCTGTACCACCATTGTATCTTAAGTAAATAACTAAAAAAAAATACAGGTTCATAGGTGGTAGGAACTTGTCTTGAGTCTCAGATGAGACTTTGAACTTTGGTCTTTTGAGTTAACGCAAGGAAGAGGTAAGACTTTGGGGAAATATGGATAAGGAATTGTTGTATTCTGAAAGGAAAATGAGTCTTCATGTCCCCAAATGACTAAAAGGGAAAAGTCAAGCTGGGAACTGCTTAGGACCAACCTGCCTCCCCTTCTATTCGAAGTCACCCCTCTGCTCACTGAGATCAATGTATATCTGATTGTCTCCTTTGGAGAGGCTAATCAGAAACTTAAAATAATTCAATCATTTGTCTCTTTTCTACCTATCACCTGGAAGCCCCCTCCCCACTTTGAGTCTTCCCACCTTTGCTTCGAGTTGTCCTGCCTTTCCAGACCAAACCAAAGTTCATCTTGCATATGGCGATTGATGTCTTATGTCTCCCTAGAATGTCTTAAACCAAACTGTGCTCTGACCACCTTGGGCACATGTCATCAGAATCTCAAGGCTGTGTCATGGGCATGCATTCTCAACCTTGGCAAAATAAATTTTATAAGTTAACTGAGACCTGTCTCAGATTTTTGGGGTTCACATTTTGGTAACTATGAAGGGATCCTGAGTGGAGATGTCCCTGACCTTTGACAAATCTCCTATCAGTGCTTGGTACCAGCATGAGTTAGCCATATGGCTCAAACCAATAGGACAATTTGCCAAGGTCTGAGAGCACCCACTCCAGAGAATCCATGAAATCCCAAAATTTGGTTGAGACCTAATGTTTACTTTGCTGTACAATTCCTCTTTTTTTTGGAGTTTTACTTGTTTCCAAAAGGAAGGCAAGATTTCCTGTTTCCATGAAGAAAGAAGACAGGTAACTCCATTATGGAGTTTGAGCTCACTTCCAACAGGGAAGATGAGTTTTTTTTTTTTTTCCTCCACTTCTAGGATGGTGGAGAGCTGTCTACAGCCTGAGTCCCATCCCTAGGTAAGAAACTGAATTAGGGTTAGTCTTGGCTAAAGTTGAGATTAACAACCAGCTGATCTTAATTTCCTCTTACCATTGTAGTGTTCAGTGATCATGTAAGTTATGCCACTGTTTGTTTTGCTTAACTGCTTTTTTGTTGTTGTTTGTTTCTGTTTTTGCTGTTTTCGTCTTTTTCCCATTGGGTTTGATTAACTCTATCCAATTTGATCAAATCCAAATAAAGGAAAAGAAAGTTCCAAATTATGAGGAGCAAGGCCTCTGAAGTGGCTAAATTCTCTCTCTCTCTCTCTCTCACACACACACACACACACACACACACACACACACAAACACACACACACAATAAAGGGTGGTAGGTGGTGTGCTAGGCGAAAAAGAAAAGAGGACATATTTTTTTATTTTGACTCCTAAAGGGGTTTTATTTATATAACAAGGCCACCTTTTTGCTAGCCAGACCAAACTGAAAGGAATGGCTGTCACCCCACACTGCAGTTCGATAGCTAAGGTTCTGCCTTCCCTCTGTTCCACCAAAACAGTCTGGCTTTGATTCCTCAATCAAGCCCTTTTTGGTTTGATACTTGGTACTTCTGAAATAGCAGCAATTTGTCCTAGCTGAAATATAGTAATGAGATTTTAAAAGACGTTTTTTAAAAAAAGGAGCTCAATGGTTAAAAGTCAGCTTAATTAAAAGCTAACATCCAAGATGTGTGTGTGTGTTTGTGTGTGTATCTGTGCATGTTTGTATTTAAAAGACCTTCATGTTTGTTTTTTTCTCTCCCAGGACCTTGTCTTCCTTTTGAGCAAAAGTTTGTTTTCTTCTCCGTTGACTGAATTCTGTTTTCTTCATTAATAACTATTGCAACAGAGGCTACTCTAGGGTTTTAAAAGAAGAGTGTAGTTTAGACACTTAGAAAAGCCTTTGTCAGAAAAAAAAAATTAAGTGCACTGTAAAAGCATCATGTGGTCTAACCTCAAAATAATTCTTCCTTTTTGGAGACCCAGGATTCAGTCTGGGTTCTGCCCAGAGCTCAGAGATCCAGATAAAAGATAGGTAGTCCTTATGTAAATAAAATTGATCTCCTTACACAATCCTATGATAAATTTCTATAATTTTATGTTTGATTTTGTATCCCTCTTTAATCTCCCTCTAGCACCACCAGACTTTTTTTCTCTGTACTTTATGATGTAAATTTTGCTATTTGATTTTCACCTGAGTTGTTTCTTTCAATATGCAAATTTAAGACTATTTAGCTGACAACTGCCTAGGGTTGTGAAACAGGTTTTCAATAATCTGATAGTCTAAGATGCAAAAAGAAAAGGTCTTTATGAATCTATAAGATGTACTTCTATCAGCATGCCTAAAACATCTATATATTTATGTGTTGTATACACAATGTTTCACTACTTAAAATATATATATAAGCATTAATTAATTGGCTTAAAGAAAAATATAAGTGCTTAAATCAAACACTTTATCAGAAAAAGGAAAGACTAGTCAAATGCTTTTTCAAGTTTATGTTGTGAAACAGGTTTTCAAGAATCTGATAGTCTAAGATGTGAAAAGAAAAGGTCTTTATGAATCTATAAGATGTACTTCTATCAGTATGCCTAAAACATCTATATATTTATGTGTTGTGTACACAATGTTTCACTACTTAAAATATATATAAGCATTAATTAATTGGCTTAAAGAAAAATATAAGTGCTTAAATCAAATACTTTATCAGAAAAAGGAAAGACTAGTCAAATGCTTTTTCAAGTTTATGTTACTTAAGTAAAATCTTTAATAAATAAGCAAGCTTTAAAATTATGGGTAAAATGATACTAGAAATGTCTTAAGAATTACCAGCATACATTTTTGTTTGCATTTATTAATCAAGTAATTTCATACGTATCCCTGCCAAATACTATAAGTTGTCAAAATTTGGCACAGGGGTTACAAAATTATAAACCCAGCCCAAGACAGAATGATCTTTGCTTGTGTAATCTTTAATAACATTGATATTGGTTTAATGAAAATAGCTACACCCTGAATTATTTAGTAAAATTACCGTAACTTCTAATCTTATGGGTTTAGGCAGTCTAGTCCACAGGCAGTAAAAAGGTTTGTTTTGGGAAAGAACTGTTATCATATTTGTTTCAAAGCTGAACTATAAGTTCCTTCCAAAGTACAAGAATAAACAAGGACAGTTTGGAGGTTAGAAGCAAGATGGAGTCATTTAGGTCATACCTTTTTCACTGTCTCAGTTAGAATTTTGCAATGGCAAGTTTCATAACTTTAAATCAGCCATAAACAGATGCTCTTGAATTCAGGTTTCTGGTATCATTGGAAATTAGATGAGAGAGCTGGTTGGTTAACAGGGCCTGGGACCTCCTTCCTTTCTCTCTTACTCCCTCTCTCACCATGTGACATACCCCTTCACTTTCCACCATGATTGGAAGCTTCTTGAAGTCTCATTAGAAAGCCAATGCTGGTGCCGTGCTTCTGATATAGCCTGCAGAGCTGTGAGCCAAATAAACCTCCTTTTAAATAAATTACCCACCTTCAAGTATTCCTTTATAGCACATTGTAAAACATACTAATGTACCACTTGAAATAACTGAGACACTATTGCAACAGCATCCTGTACTTCCAGCAGCTGTTCCAGCAATGATGCAATGCCACCACAATTATTAGACCAGTCTTTTGGCTACAGTTCCAGATATTGATTTACTGTGGATATCTGTCCTGTTATCAATCTGTCTCTTCTGGTGCCTACAGAACAATTTTCAAAGACACTCCTTTTACGCTTTGTTATGCTTTCAGATACATACATACATATACATACCCATACATATATGCATGCACTGAAATGTATACATATGTGTATATTATATGTAGATACCCACACTTTCAGAATCTAAACTTACATTTAAAATGTAATAGAAAAGGCCAAAAACTGTTACATTAGCACAAATTACACCAAGTAATTTGAAACACATTCACTCATCACGCTATTAAAGTTGGGCAATTAACTCTTCTGTGTTTTTGCCTGAAAACGTAATATGTTATATTATGAGGTCTTTGGAAGTCCTCCTGTATTCACTGCACTGTTTAATAAACAAAATTGAGTTTGAAGTGGTTTCCTATTAATTTTGATCCTTAAGTTAAATGGTATTTGTAAACAGAAACTCTTGATAAAAAGATTGTATTAGATTTAAAATTATTAAAAATTTCCAATTTAAATGATTACTTTCTATCTGAGTAGTTTATTTTTTTATAAACTGAATATTGAATTGATGGTAGTTAATGACATTCATTGAAGGGGAAGGACTCTTCACTGGCAATGTTGAGAAACTAACTTTATTAACATACATTTGGAAAATTTTCCAGATATTAGAATACATTATTCATCTAAGACTCTAAAAGATGTGTTTTATTCATGCTGCTATTGCTATGAATTCAAAACCCAATTAATATGCGTCATCTGCTGTATTACAAAAGGCAAGCAACATATATATCATTTTTATTTATGTGTAACTTAAAGTAAGATGTTAAAGAGTGCTATGTTCTATTGCGGAGAAGCAGTGGCATGAAATGAGGAAAATATATGTGAATGCTGTCCATTTATGTTTAAAGATAAGCTATACTTTGGTAGATATGTCTAAAATAATGTGTTTTCTAAGTAGAGTAACTAGATAAGGAATTAGGTTGATAATTTCCATTTCAAAAGCAGGCTGCCTTGAGCTAGGCTAAATGATTGATTTCAAAGCAAAATAGAAAAGCCGAATATGACTTGTCTTTTGGCATCAGAAAAGACCAACATATCAGGGATAAGTATGTGTTTAAATAAACTTTCTTGAGTTGTCTTTATATTCACTAAAATACAATAAATAGAGGCTGAGGCCTTCACTTTGGTGTGCCTAGTGGTGTAATTAAATTCTGTAGCTGGGCTATAGGTTGTTTTAAATATTGTAAAAGCTGGTAGGTTGGGTAATTATTAATAATTTAAGCACTTTGATCCTCAGTTTCTTCATCTGTAAAGAAAGAAAATTTAGAACACACTGTCTACATTATTTTGGCTTTGATATGAGGCAATGGATCAAGATTGTGAAAATTTTAAAAAGACTTATTTTCATTTAAATTTCTTTTTTTTATGCCATGATACTTTTGCTTTGTCCTATTTTCATTTATTTATTTAATTTATTTTTTAATTATACTTCAAGTTCTGGGATACATGTGCAGAACGTGCAGGATTGTTACATAGGTATAAACATGCCATGGTGGTTTGCTGCACCCATCAACCTGTCATCTACATTAGGGATTTCTCCTAATGCTATCCCTCCCTTAGCCTCCCCAACCCCCAATAGGAACAGTGTGTGATGTTTGCCTCCCTGTGTCCATGTGTTCTCATTGTTCAACTCCCACTTATGAGTGAGAACATGCAGTGTTTGGTTTTTCTGTTCTTGTGTTAGTTTGCTGAGAATGATGGTTTCCAGCTTCATCCATGTCCCTGCAAAGTACATGAACTCATCCTTTCTTTTTTTTTTTTTTTTTTTTTTTTTTTTTTTTTTTTTTGAGACGGAGTCTCGCTCTGTCGCCCAGGCCGGACTGCGGACTGCAGTGGCGCAATCTCGGCTCACTGCAAGCTCCGCTTCCCGGGTTCACGCCATTCTCCTGCCTCAGCCTCCCGAGTAGCTGGGACTACAGGCACCCGCCACCGCGCCCAGCTAATTTTTTGTATTTTTAGTAGAGACGGGGTTTCACCTTGTTAGCCAGGATGGTCTCGATCTCCTGACCTCATGATCCACCCGCCTCGGCCTCCCAAAGTGCTGGGATTACAGGCGTGAGCCACCGCGCCTGGCCTGAACTCATCCTTTCTTATATGGCTGCCTAATATTCCATGGTGTACATGTGCCACATTTTCTTTATCCAGTCTATCATTCATGGGGATTTGGGTGAGTTCCAAGTCTTTGCTATTGTGAACAGCACTGCAATAAACATATGTGTGCATGTGTCTTTATAGTAGAATGATTTATAAACTTTTGGGTGTATACCAAATCCCAGTAATGGGATTGCTGGGTCACATGGTATTTTTGTTCTAAATCCTTGCGGAATTGCCACACTGTCTTCCACAATGGTTGAAGTAATTTATACTCCCACCAACAGTGTAAAAGCATTCCTATTTCTCCACATCCTCTCCAGCATCTGTTATTTCCTGACTTTTTAATGATCGCCATTCTAACTGGTGTGAGATGGTTTCTCACTGTGGTTTTGATTTGCATTTCTCTAATGAACACTGATGATGAGCTTTTTCGCATATATTTGTTGGCCACGTAAATGTCTTCTTTTGAGAAGTGTCTGTTCACATTCTTCATCCCCTTTTTGATGGGGTTGTTTGTTTATTTCTTGTAAATTTGTTTAAGTGCTTTGTAGATTCTGGATATTAGCCCTTTGTCAGATGTATATATTGCAAAAATTTTCTCCCATTCTGTAGGTTGCCTGTTCACTCTGATGATAGTTTCTTTTGCTGTGCAGAAGCTCTTTAGTTTAATTAGATCCCATTTGTCAATTCTGACTTTCGTTGCCATTGCTTTTGGTGTTTTAGTCATGAACTCTTTTCCCTTGCCTATGTCCTGAATGGTATTGCCTAGGATTTCTTCTAGGGTTTTTATGGTGTTAGGTCTTACATTTAAGTCTTTAATCCATCTTGAGTTAATTAATGTATAAGGTGTAAAGAAAGGTTCCAGTTTCAGTTTTTTGCATATGGCAAGCCAGTTTTCCCAACACCATTCGGGAATCTTTTCCCCATTGCTTGCGTGTGTCAGGTTTGTCAAAGATCAGATGGTTGTAGGTGTGTGGCATTATTTCTGAGGCCTCCGTTCTGTTCCATTGGTCTATATATCCGTTTTGGTACCAATACCATGCTGTTTTGGTTACTGTAGCCTTGTAGTATAGTTCAAAGTCAGGTAGTGTAATGCCTCCAGCGTTGTTCTTTTTGCTTAGGATTGTCTTGGCTATACAGGCTCTTTTTTGGTTCCCTGTGAAATTCAAAGTAGTTTTTTCTAATTCTGTGAAGAAAATCAATGGTAGCTTGATGCGGATAGCATTGAATCTATAAATTACTTTGGGCAGTATGGCCATTTTTATGATATTTTCATCTAAATTTCTATATTTAGATTAATATTATTCAACTGCAAATTCAAAATAAAAAGATACTAAGATACAGAAGCACTCAGGAAGTACATTATCCAGGCATCAACTTTTCTAAAAATCTAATTGAGGAAGTGATTTCATACACATTATGAAAATGCAAAAGTGAACCACAAATAAAGTTTGATAAACTGAGATATCTTTGAATGATGGTAAGTCTAAGTCAAGCTTCATAATGTGGAGACTTGTAAATTTTACATAAAATTATTTAAAAATAGGAAATGTATTTTGAGAAAAATAACATTATGGAATTAAAATTCTATATAATTTTATCAGAACTTTGGGGAATTGAAGATTAGGAAATAATTATCTTAATCTATGTTTTCATGTTCCTTTGTCTTGTTTTCTTCAGAAACTTTTACTATCAATTTTTATTCCCAACACCTACATAGCCATATTTTATACTATATTTGGAGCTATTCATTGGCCCTTGGATATCCTCAAATTTATGTTAAAAGCAAAAATAAAGCCAACTGAAAAAAATGCTTTTTTCATTTACATGTACTCCTCAGCTACTTTTTAAAAATTTCACTCTTTTTCACAAACTTTTTAGAGAAATAACTCTATTCACTCTCTCTAAGATACTATAGAAAACTGGAAATTATGTTAACAGATAACCTACAAGAGAAAAAAACAAATATAAATAGCTAATATAAATACAAAATATTTCAAATCTCATTAGATCTCAGGAAAAGTACATCAAAGATATATACATAACTTTTTTATAACTAATCTTTTAAATCAATTTTTATTTTTTATTTTTATTTATTTTTTATTTTTGAGATGGAGTTTTGCTCTTGTTGCCCAGGCTGGAGTGCAATGGTGTGATCTTGGCTCACTGCAACCTCCGTCTCCTGGGTTCAAGTGATTCTCCTGCCTCAGCCACCCGAGTAGTTGGGATTACAGGCACCCACCACCACACCTGGCTAATATTTGTATTTTTAGTAGAAACAAGGTTTCACCATGTTGGCCAGGCTTGTCTCAAACTCCTGACCTCATGATTCACCCACCTCAGCCTCCCAAAGTGCTGGGATTACAGGTGTGAGCCACTGCACCTGGCCGTAAATCAATTTTTTTAAATTATGGTCTTAATCAGGCTGAATGAGCGACCATGTAGCTGCTCTTTTCTATCTGGTCAGCTGTCCCTGATCTTTCTTGGGATGGACAGGCTCTGGCTCAAATATGTTTCACTTTAATAGTGCCTTACCTAACTAAGAAGCAGTCGGTACATAGTTGACATATTTTTAATGGGCTACCTAAAACATATATTTTTGTGCCAATCTGTATCTAGGGTACTAAGGGCTAATATGTCATAATTTAACTAATTTCATTGCTTTTGCCTACCAAAAATAGCTCTTTACCAACCAAAAATGTATGGATCCTCATAATGTAACTAACATTATTGGTTTTGCCTACCCAAAATAATTCTTTACCAACCCAGAATGCATGGATCCTTGGAGACTTATTGTCTTGTCTCTATTGTCATATTCTAGAGTATATCATCTACAGTGTGTCAAGCTCTATGGACAGTTTCTGTATCAATCAGAACTCTTGATTTTTACATATATACAACTCAAACTTAGCACAAAAGAAAATTATCTTGGAAGATTGTAGTGCTATTCACTGAAAGGAATAGCTAAAGTACTCAACCGTAAGAAAGATGAGGAAAAAAGCAGCTCCAGAAACAATTGCAGACATTGCTAACAGTGACTTGAGCTTGGCCAGGACCCTCCATCACTCAGCTTTTCCTCTCTTTGATATTGGCCTTATTCTCTTCAGTAGAAAGTTGTTTTGCATACAATGTTATCAGTGCCACATAAATATTAGAACAGGCAATCCATGGTTTCCCTAGCCTCAAGGACATAGGTACAGATGAGAAGATTTATACAGTGCTCTTGGTACTTCTGAACCCTGCAGAAACACTGACCAGATGACTTGGATGAGATTGAAGGAGGTTTGACCAAGCTGGTAAGGTCACCGAACTCAAGAATCTCTGCTCAGTCCAGAAAATCTGAGAAGTAACTCAACAGCTTCCTCTTCTATAGCTGGTTCTTGTTCATACTCAGTTTTACAGGGTTCATTGTATTAATACATGACAAAATTAACACTCACAAATATTAATACATGCAATGTGTGCTGTCCTGGGAGGGTCAGAATCAAGTTATCCTATTTATGGGATATCTTCCTATACCAACTACTACAATATCAAATCTACTTTCTGCAAAGTACCAGAACAATAGCTGATAGGAGATAGGAGTTCGTTTATTTCCAACTTTGCCTTCTGGAAAATAGCCTTCTCTCATGTGAAAAATTCCAGAAAAACATGCTGAAGGACTGACTTGGTTTGCATCCCTGCTCCTAGACAAATCACTCTTTCCAGATTTCTCCTCTTTCCAGAGGTGAAAGAGTCATGTATGACGATATAATAACAACTCCCTATAAGACCATAAGTAAAATGGGTAATGGGGAAGGGATAATTTTCTAAAAATAAGAGAACAGATTTTCCATGAGAAAGAATGGAGTCTAGGCAGAAAAAAGAAAAAAAAAACAACAAAACCCCCCGCCCCAAAAAAACAACTACAGGAGATAGACTGAAAATACACAAAAAAGCTCAAAACACATAGAAAAGCATGACAACATAATTGCTGTGGACAGAAATTTCACTTGCACTGGAAAAAAAAAAAATTCAAGTTATATAATTACATCTTTATTTAGGGTCATTTAAATTCATTACATTTTTCTATGGCTATCTTTTCTAATGAACTGATTTCATTATTTCTTCTCCTTAAGTAATTGTATTCAAACACAACATTCATAAAGCTATTATTTATTACTAAAGGAGAATTTAACATATCCTATTGTTTAGTCCACCTGGGTAGGTGAGTATTCACAAGATGTGCTTATATTCACTTCTCTGTGCATCACAGGTAAAAAGAGTTTTCGACTGATCAGTTAAGCATGAGTTGGTTATCTCAATGCTTTTCTATATGTACATGAATATTTACAGTTAAGAGAAAAAAATGACTTCAAAAGCTTTGATTGTACTATTTGCATTGAATGTTACACTCACTTAAAAATCAAGAATCGTGATAATTTTATTTAGAAATCATTCTTGGGCACTTTCACAAAAACTTACATTATACCCTTTAATCTTCATAATCATCAGTCATTATTTTAGAAAAATACCTTTTAATCTTCATAGTCATCAGTCATTATTTTAGAAAAAAAACACATATGAACTAACAGAACCAAATTCTAGAAATAAAACATTTTTAAAGGTGTTTGATACAGTTTTGAAATACGAATGGCATAGAGAGAGCTGCTATTTTTGATATTTGTAGCTACTTAATTTTTTTTCTCAAGCAAGCTGTAAAGGCCTCTTGCATAAGCTGAAGGTAGCAGAGATAATAAAATTCATTAAAGTACCATTTTCTCTCTTTAGAAACCATTAGTTTCTGAGGCACTAATGACAAGTTGGCATTGCTCATAGATTTGAGGTTTACAGTTACTCAATTCCTACTAAGCTGATAAAGGCTAGGAGAAAATACATAAAAATAAATGCATAGAAGTATGAATAATTTTATTTTGGTTATTTAAAAATGTTTATGTTAAATGTGCTTATCCATTGACCTAAATTTTTAACCTATTTCTTTTGGTATCTATGAACAAATAAGTGGGAAACCATTTAGAGGCAACTAAAGTCATTTGAACCTATAGTCTTCACTTTATATTTCAGGAGCAGACAAGGCCAGTTCTCTTCATCTCTTTTTTTTCTCCCTTTCTTCAGAAGAAGAGTTAAAGGGAGATGATAAGAATGGCCAAAAATACACTCCAGCCTGGGTGACAAAGCAAGACTCTGTCTCAAAAAAAAAAAAAAAAAAAAAAAAAAGGCCAAAAATAGGCTGAGTGCGGTGGCTCACACCTGTAATCCCAGCACTTTGGGAGGCTGAGGTGGGTGGATCACCTGAGGTCGGGAGTTCGAAACCAGCCTGACCAACATGGAGAAACCCCCATCTCTACTAAAAATACAAAATTAGCCCAGCGTGGTGGCACTTGCCTGTAATCCCAGCTACTCAGGAGGCTGAGGCAGGAGAATCACTTGAACCCAAGAGGCAGAGGTTGCAGTGAGCCGAGATCACACCATTGCACTCCAGCCTGGGCAACAAGAGTGAAACTCTGTCAAAAAAAAAAATTGGCCAATAATAAAAGATGGTTATTGGTTTTCTGGAGGCAGAGATATAAATCAAAATTAATTGGAATTTATCAGGAAATTCTTTCGAGACAAATATATGATGAATCCATTTTGATGTATAGTTTGACCAAATATCCTAAGTCATGATTTCAAGTGATGAAAAAGTTCCTGCCAGTGTTGATTACATAAAAGTGGACAAGGAAGAAAGAAACCTTTGTGTTTGTGTGGGTAAGGAAGTAAACAGTTCAGGAATAAAAATCAGAGATGGATGTAAATGTTTCTGAAAAGGAAATAAACTTACAGGGTGTTCAGATGCTATAATATTGCTAGAACTTGGGCCAACTGTAGGAACAGTTTAGCAGGTTTCCAGCAAGTTGGGTTTGACCCTCTTCCACATGATGTGTTGGTTCAGGAAGAAACTTTCCTTCTTGTCTTCAGTACTGAGACAATATCTGGAATAGTTCTGAATAGTAATATTTATTCCTCTAAATTGAAATCATAAATTTATTTATTTTTCTTTTCTCTATGCTGTGAGCTGCTTAAATCCAGAAAGGATTTAATTTCTTTATTTCAAAGGTATGGTAGGTGCCCCTCTACCTCTTTTGTTTCTTTTGTCCAGGGGAAGAGTAAGGCTGGCAGATCATTGTGAGAATTAATAAGTTGAGGCCTATAAAGAGTTTCGAAGAGGGCCTGTATCATTGACTCAATAAATATGAACAACTATTACCACCTAGCAAATAATTGCTCATTCCACAGCATGTACTTTTTACTTTTATAATAGACAAACGACTACCAAAATAGATTTTTTTTTGCTCCAAAATTAGTTGTGGGCAGTGACAGTTCACTAATGAAGCTGTGTTATTTACATCAAACAAACAGAATAAGAAAATTGTTTGTTGCCCACTTTTAATTCCAACTTTTTATTGTATGCCTGTGAGAAAATGATATTTACACAGAAATTTAAAAGTTTCATAAATATTTACCTATACAATCATATACTGTACATAATTGGTTAATCATGTTTCAAATGTTACAAAAGCATTCTTGTGATTAGAAATCTTACTTGCAAGATTAGCATGTCTTCTCTTGCTTATGTACTCCACAGTAATCTTCTAATATTATCTTCTGACTGTTTAGGGGCCACATAATCATTTCTATTTGTTAAAGTTATTAATCTGCCTTATCAATTATTTCTGTATACGTAATGTAATCCATACTCAGATAGAGGAAAGTATGTAATTACAAGCTTTTCTGTTATCTCCATGTTTTTTGTGTTAGTAATACCAATGCCCAATAAACTGGTGAAAGACATTTTTTCCCTAAATCATCTCAAAAAATTCATGAATACTTTAACTTAATTTATTCAGTTTTCCACATTTTTTGTTGTTAAGCATGAATTATTTGCTAAATAATCTAAATGAATTCCTATGATGTGAAATCCACCAAGATTAGTAACTTCATATAAATGGACATATAATGCACAATCATGAATTAATTAATTATAAGGACTTTAAAGGAGGGAGGAAATGAGAGTGTAGGCAAATGAAGCACGAATGTATAAAATGTTAACGTGAAAAGTCACCAAGCCAAAAATTAAATAAGTAAATAAATAAATAATGAAATGGCACAGGACAAAAATGGAGTGTTGTAGGCTCAATGTCCCATCAATTCCTAAAGACTGGGCTTTCTGAGTCTCTTTTACTGGGAGAGAAAGGAGTTCAAATAATGTAAGTTCATAAGGAATTACAAAAATTACCATTTGGAAGGTATCCTAGGCATTTTTTACCTGAAAAACTTTTTATGGTAACTTATTTAATAGCTATGGATTTGTTGCAAGAACTTTCTCCAGGTAAGTGAATGAAGTTCAAGATATGTGACTTACTGAAGATTACACGTCTTTAAAGGTTGTAGAGGTGGCATACCAATATTTTGGAAGAAATACCTGAGCATGTTCTGCCCCATTCTTCGTATTTAAAATAAGTGAAAATTCCAGAAGGAATGCATATTTTCTGCACCTAATGACCTACAATTCATTGGCTCTCAGAGGTAAAGTCTTAGTGAGCCCATTCCTCTTATAGGTCTACATTTTCCTAAGTTTTGTGTGATTAACAGAGCTGTCATTTTGATCTACACCTAACTGACTTCTGTCTCTCTCTCAAAGGTTTTAAACTTTGAGGAAGAGGGGTGCAATTTATTGACTCCATATACAATTCCAACCAACCAAAGAATTCATATGGCAATGAGTGTGTGCCCGGAGGCAATACGCTGACGTGCAGTTAGAACTGACAATTGGCTGTATAATACTGATATTTTACATGGATTTGTCCTTTACAAAAATCTTCACCTAAATATTATTTTACATAGTTTACATTGATTTCAAAACCATCATAAAATGCAGGCTGTGTAGGGGCAGAAAATCTCTGAGTAAGATAACATTTTTTTGCCAACTATTGAAAAAATATATTTTAAAAACTGTATTTGCTGTTTAGGCAATGTATGAAATGCATGATTATTTCTACTCTACTGTGATGCTAGGTAAGAAAAAAAAGAGCAGAGGCATATAGAGATAGCAAAGAGAACAAGATTCTGGATCTATATGCATGAAGTAGGCGTTGCTAGTAATTTGCTTCTGAATTAAACAGAGGTATCTAACCAATTATTAGCAAATTGGATGACCTTGGGGTTATTTTTGGGAGGCGGAGTCTTGCCACATCTAAGAGGATGCATCTTCGCTTCAGGTAGATCAGTTTGAAAAGGTAGAGTCCAGAAGAAACATGCTTCCAGAGAAAACATGGGTTTTGTCCCCAAACCTTATCTCCATATGGAAGAGAGAGTTTGTGGCTGAGCAAAGCTGGGACAGTTCTTCTGTCCACGGGACAATTTTTGCTGTTGTTGTTCCTGTAAGCCAGAGTTGATATTCTCTATAATCTAAGACCCAGGAAGGAAAGTAACATGTTCTTCCAACTGTCAATAAATCAACAGGAGACTCCAAGTGATTACATTTTATCTACCTGATTTTTGTTAAATTCTGTACATTTCACACATATGAAATGTAACATTTCCATTATCAATTAGATTTAACAATTTCTTTACCCAGTAGTCATATTTAGGTTCTTGTCCAGTCGTTTTACTGCTTTCGACCTGGTCATGTTTACAACTCCACAGTCATTTAAAAACATTCCTGACTAGCATGTGGGTTAGACTGTAGGCCAATTCTTAAGTCTAACAGTTTAGTTGAGAAGAAAAAGAGTAGATACATTTTTAACATTTGAAGGTGACCAAAGCCTCCATCCTATTGCAGATGAACTCAATTTGCAACTTAAACCATTAAGTTTTCTTTTTTGAATTACAGGAGTAGATGAAAGTGGATGAGAAGACCTCATTGTCTTTAAAATCACACTGATAATGATGTATTGTATTGCATCTGTGTGCTGAAAATGTATGCAAATCATGGATTCAGAATTAACTTTTAAATAATTTTTGACTTCATATTTCAAATTCTAAAGGGTGGTTTGAAGATGTGACAAGTAAATATATTGAGCTCAAAACAAAAGTTATAGCTAGTAAATGGTGTTAAAAAAAGATTATGGTTAGTAACTGGTGTTACAACTTTCCAATTTACGATGTCAAGATATTTTATGACATTTCTGTCCCTGATATGAGAGGCTTAAATGCATTCTTAAGTAAAAAGAAAAACTGCAATAGTTGTAACTATGCAGTTTGCTACATCTTGAATGTTGAAGGAAATACCTTATTTGACAACGCTATACCAGATGGAGTGCATATTTTTTGAAAAAAATTAAAATGCAAATCCATGAAGCTTTGAAACATAGACTTATATTTTGGCTTGGGACTAATGTATAAAGAGATTGCCAAAAGAAATAATTGAGCCTTTATCATTCTGAGCATCCACGGTTTCCTATACATCCATTTTCAACTCATTATAATTCCATTTTGCCAATCAAATAATCGACTAGGTTGAGGAAACTCTACATTAATTTAACATAATTAAACACAATATCAGATTTTAAACCACAGTCTCTGATTTCAATTCCATTTGTTCTTTCCAGAATTCTGATCCGTAATTAAAAGCAGACACTGACTCTGCAAGTGTAATACATTAACTATGGATCAAACAGAAATGTGTACTTTAGAAAATATACCAATGTCAGAATATTTTTAGGTTAGTTTCCTGGGGCAAAAAAAAATCTGCTTCATGGGTAGAAGTGGGCTGTGATTCTTCAAGGAACTGGTCAGATTTATTTTTAGTCCTCCTGGGAAAGCTTCATTCTGGAGTAAGAAATGGAAAATAATAAGGTGGATATGCGTGAAGATAGAAAAAATAATTATTTCTTTCTTTCCCTAACATACCGCTGTGTATTAGTTCATTCTCATGCTGCTATAAAGAACTGTCCAAGACTGGGTGATTTATAAAGAAAATAGATTTAATTGACTGACAGTTCCAAAGAGCTGGGGAGGCCTCAGGAAACTTACAATCATGGTGGAAGGGAAAGCAAACATGTCCTTCTTCACATGATGGCAGGAAGGAGAAATGCCAAGCAAAGAGGGAAAGGCTTGTTATAAAACCATCAGATCTCATGAGAACTCACTAACTCACTATCATGAGAACAGCAGCATAGGAGTAACTGCCCCCATGATTCATTTACCTCCACTGGGTCTCTCCCACAACCTGCAGGGATAATGGGGACTACAATTCAAGATGAGATTTGGGTGGGGACACAGCCAAAACATATAACCCTGTGAGTCTCCCTTCCCAACCTATACTGTCTTGTTGACTAGAAGGAAAGAAAATGTGATGCAAAACTCACAAACCCTTGGACTACCTGAGCTGTACATAATGGTGCCAGTAGAAAACACGATAGGCAAAGAGCATGAACCTGATTCACAGAGCACACAGGATCTGTAAACACTATGAATTGATTACCTAAATTATTTTAAATAAGATCTCCTAGAGTATTCTGCTTAAACAACTCCAAGACACTTACCTGGGTCTTCCATCATGACAGATCAATAAAGGAATATATATATGTCTATATACATATATACTTACTTGCATATACACTTGTGTGTAAATATGTATAAATATATATACTTGTATCCACATACATATATATGTACATATATTATACATAAATATATACATAAATTAAAAATGGAAATATGTCAAATGATAAAGAAAATTGGGTAAAATATTAACAATATGTCAATCAATCTGTGATGTTCTTAATGCTATAAATGTAATGTCCTTGCAACTTTTCTCTGTGAAAAAATTTCTAAATAAAATATTTTTAAAAATAAGAAAAGAATAAATCTATTCAGATTCAGCCTGTTACAAATAATTATTTGCCTCATTTCTGTATTTTCTCTGTGCATGAGGCCTTGTTGAAATTTTATTTTGTAATTGAAACAACTAGACTTAGTGACTACCATTTCAGTTAGATCCCCTAATCTCCAACTGTGTACACACTTTAATTTGGCTTTTGGAAAAGCAACTAAAAATTTTAAAGTTATTTTCTCTTTCAATGTCTGACTGAATGGCATATGCTACATGTTCCTCTGAATTTACTGACCTTATATATCTTAATTATTTCATTAAACATAAAATACACAACTATATTTCTCTTATAAAAGAGTTTATTTCTCTCTTATTATTAAAATCTTCTCCCTTCCAAATATCCCCTTTTCTAGGTCCCAGAGTATTTAAAGTGCACTATGTCTGAAGTATGAAGAGGCTTAAGTCAATTTTAGTCAAGATGAGGAAGCTCAGTCACTGCTGCTCAGGAGGTTGAGGTGTGTTTTAGTCTGTCCTTATGCCACTAATAAAGACATACTCAAGACTGGGTAATTTATTTAAAAAATGAGATTTAATAGACTCACAGCTCTACATGACTGGGGAGGCTTCACAATCATGGTGGAAGGTGAAGGAGGAGCAAAGTCATGTCTTACATGGCAGTAGGCAAGAGAGCATGTGCATGGGAATTCCCCATTATAAAGCCATTACATCTCATGAGATTTATTCACTATCAGGAGAACAGCACAGGAAAGACCAATCCCCATGATTCAACTACCTCCCACTGGGTACCTCCCATGACACATGGAAATTATGGGAGCTACAGTTCAAGATGAGATTTGGGTTGGAACACAGCCAAACCAAACCATAATGGGATTGCTTGAGGCCAAGAGTTTGAGGCTGCAGTGAGCTATGGTGCTATGATCACAACTGTGAATAGCCACTGCACTCCAGCCTTGACAACATAGTGAGATCTTGTCTCAAAAAAAAAAAAAATGAGGAAGTTCTCCGTGGATATGAGCCTGCAGACAAAACTGAGGCACAGGGTTAGCCTCATAAAAAATTCTTAGTGCAGAGTTAGCTAGAGAAGCAATATGTAAACCATCCATGATATTTGGTGAAGCATTATTAAAGATACTACTTGGTTTCAGTTATATTATGGACAGTTTTTAAAAGGAAGGACAACTGCTTGGAGATAACTGATGATAGGGAAAATCATATATTTTCCCCTATGTCATGCACTTTTGTGGGACAGGAGGTGGCAGTAGAAGTTGAAAGCTGAGAAAAGCTGTGTCCAGCAAAACAGGGGTTTTCGGAATAGTAGTAGCACCATGGATATTTTGGCAAGGTATATATAAGAAAGCTGGAGCAGAATAAACTGATATAATTGTGTCAACATATTTGTGAAAGAGACTCCTAGGCAATGCTTAAGAATTTCTGGGGAATAATTTTATAAAGGAGACTGCTAAGTTATAGAAACTGGAGTGATAGGTCGTCACAATCGTTTTGACACAAAGAGGAAGTGAGACTATATGTTTTGTCAGAAGCTGAAGAGATCTAGTATTTGGAGTTGGCATCTATTTTGATTTGGGGAACAATGTACTTAGCATTAACTTGTGCAGGAGATTAGCCTAAGGAAAAGCACAAAAGTATTGCGGGCTGGAATTTGAAGAACTTTGAAAGTCAGAAAGTGAGATTGTCTGGCATCATGGAAGTTACATGGAAAATGGCAAGTTTTTGACAGAGGAGTGAAGTTCTAGGATCTATCTAATTAAACACTTATATAGAAACTGGAGAGATGCATGGAAATGGCAAGTAGAGCAAACACTGGCACCTCCAAGATGCTGACATTGTAGTTTGATCTATAAAATATGTACTAGATGTCCATTAGCTCTTTACTTAATTTTAAATACTAATTATGCTTTATCTGAATGTCAGATGATCAGGAAAAATGCAAAAGGAAACAATCACTTACTTAACACAATGAATAATTATTTTAGAAGGCAGTCGTTGGGCTAGGTGCCACTGTTTTGATGTAAGCATTTATTCTTTCACTATTTATTCAAGAAATATTTACTAAATGTCTACTACTAGCTAGGCATTGTGTTAGCTAATGGTGATAAATGGGAAATGGGACAGATGACTTAAGTAATAAATTTATACAAATAGAGGCAAAATGTATCCAAATATTTCCTGAGATTTCACTGTGATGTTTTAAGTAACATACCAGACTGAAGAATTATTTGCAAATTCTCATATTAAGATACACTGATATGCTGGACAAAGCAAAATAATTTAAAAATACATAGACAATTCAACCCTGTAAAGAGGTATAATGTCACCTGATATTTCTGTTTCAGAATGAGAGCTAAAGATTTCTATTTCTGAGAAAACAGAGTAGACATATTTTTCCCTATTCCTCCCACTAGGTACAACTAAAAACTATATATATATGACTAAAAACCATATGGAGATTTTAGTTGTCTATATATGGTTTTTATTTGTACCTAGTGGGAGGAATAGGGAAAAGTATATATATTTGATACACCCACACGTGCACACTCAAGAAGATTCTAAAAGGTAGAGGGAAGAAAGCAGGCTAACTTGGGACCTCAATTATGAGGAACAACATGGTGGTGAATTGCATAGCACTTCTTTTGTCTCATATATTCTAAAGAAACCAGCAATCCAAAAACACCAATAGTCACAGACAAGAAAAGCCTCAGCAAAATCCTACTCTCCTCCTTAGCAATGGACCATAAAAGGTGATATGGTTTGGCTCTGTGTCCCCACCCAAATCTCACGTTGAATTGTAATAATCTCCACGTGTCATGGGAGGGACTTAGTGGGAGGTAATTGAATCATGGAGGTGAGTTTTCCCCATGCTGTTCTCGTCGTAGTGAATAAGTGTCATGAGATCTGATAGTTTTATAAAGGGCAGTTCCCCTGCACATGTCCTCTTGCCTGCTGCCATGTAAGATGTCCCTTTGTTCTTCCTTCATCTTCCGTTATGATTGTGAGGCCTATCCAGCCATGTGGAACTGTGATCCATTAAACCTCTTTCCTTTATAAATTACTCAGTCTCAGGTATGTCTTTATTAGCAGTGTGGCAATGGACTACTACAAAAGGAGAGCCTAGAAAGAGAACTTTTAGACACTAACAAATCTAACCAGGCCAATCACCACAGAAATAAACCCTGTTTCACTCCCATCCCAACCAGCCAGAAAAAGCCAAGTAGAAAGTGAGATTTCCAACCTGGCCAGGCTGTAATGAGAAATCCCTTTCATTCCCAAGGCATGTGTCCCCCCTGTTTTTTCTTACCATTTTTTTTTCTTGCAGGTGGTGAATTACTTTATTTTAGAAAAGCAAAAGTTTACAATTTGTGCCATAGGCAGAATATCATGAATTCAACAAGTTATTAATACAGACTTTCAAAAACCTTTACAGATTAGTCCAAAGTAGAAAATTATTTTTTCCCACTCTTAGACTCAAGCGCATTCAGAAAAAATACACAATTTATAAAAATAAAATGGCAAGCCTAATCACACCAATTAATTGATAGTGTTAACATCCCACACTGGTTCATTTGAACAATTAATACATAATAAGAATAGCTGAATTACTTTTTCAAGTCCTACCTCCATGTTACATGAAACAATTATGAAACTATTTGTTACTTTTTATAAAACCAAAGTAAAAAATGCCCCAAACAAAACATGAAATAACCACTAAAAAAATCTACTAAACAAAAATATTACAGCTAAGGTAACTACTCTTATAGACCCTTTCTTCACCTCCTTGAGATTTGGCATCTTAATATTATTTCTAAACCAGATATCAGGAAACAACTATGTGTGAAAAAGAAAATGAAAACTCCATGTCTAATTCACATTAAAGAAGTTTCGGATAATAGTAGCTGGGAAAAACATTTAAGCACACAATGAAACAAACAAAAAGAATTGCCAGCTATAATGGGGTGCATAGGGTAATTGATAAAAACATATAATTTGTCTAATCAAAATATCTTTAAATACTGTCTGATCATCAAATTTCAGCAAAAGCAAGGATCTAGAATTTTGAATTTTAGATAAGTAGAAATCCAGGACTTTTTTTTTTTGGCAGGGTGATAGACACATAGAACAATATAATAGAACTGGATCCAGAAATAGACCCACAGAATTATGCCCAATTCATAGTTTACAAAGACACAAAAGCAATTAAATGGAGGGAAGATAGCATTTCCAACAAATGATAATGAAGAACTGAACTCCCATATGCAAAAAAATGAACATTTACCTAAGTATCAGACTTTAAATAAATGAACTCAAAACAAGTCACATCCAAAAGTGTTAAATTTAAACCCTAAAATATTTGGAAAAATATAGGAGATTATCTTCAGGGTCTGGGGCTAGGAAAAGTGTTTTTAGACTTTCTACAAAAAGAATAATCCATCAAAGAGAACAACTGACAAATTGACTGTTAGAAAAAAAATACACCAAAAAAATAAGAAGGAAAAAGAAAGAAAAATTTATGACAGGCTATCATGTATGTATACAGAATTAAATTTTTCACCTAAAGGAATGCCAAGCTGAGATGTTGACAAACAAATAAAAAATACAACGAGTTGAAGTTGTATTAAATTACTGGAGCACAAGCAATTTACCAGATTTAAAAAGAAACAGTAATACAGTACCATAACTAGGAGAAACTACAAAAATAGAAACGGATGCATAAATGACAGAGATGGAAGTAGTAGACAAAACATAAATTCAGCTTATAAACATGCTCAAGAATTAAAATAAAATCATGAAAATATAAAAAGAAATGGAAACTCTTAAAATAAAAATTTTAAATTTAAAATCTCAAAATTAAATCATTTAAGATCAAATATTCACTGTCTGGTCTTAAAAGCAGATTAGACACTGTCAGAGAAAAGATCAGTGAACTAGGTGACATAATAAACTTCACAAACTGAATCACTCAGGAATCTGTGGGCAAAAATCAAGCCATTTGATGTACATTAAAATGAAGTAAAAAATGAAGTAACAAGTTACATATACATATGTATAGATGGATGAGATGTGATGCACCCATACAATGGAATATTATTCAGCAATACAAAGACATGAACTATCAAGTCATAAAAGAATATGGAGGAACCTTAAATGCATATTGCTAAGTGAACAAAGCCAATCTGAAAGGGCTACATACTGTATTATTCTCACTATATGATATTCTGAAAAGGAAAAAGGAGAAAGAGTAAAAATTTCAGTAATTGCCATGGGTTCAGTAGAGGGAGTGATAGATGAATGGTTGGAGCCCAGGGGATTTTTAGGGCAGTGACATGACACTATTTTATATGATACTCCAATGGATGATACTTGTCATTATGCATTTGTCAAAACACACAGAATGTACAACACAGAGTGAGCCATAATGTCAACTATGGACTTTAGTTAAGAGTGATGACTCAACGTTGACTCATCAATTATATTAAATGTTCCAAATTAAAGCAAGATAGTAGGGTAAACTGTATGTAAGAAGGTTGAGGGGTATATGAAAACTCTGTGTACTTTCTGCTCCATTTTTCTGTAGATTGGAAACAGCTAAAAAAAAATTTATTAATTTAAAAAATCATTAACATCAACACATGATAGTTCTTCAAATTCTGATTATCATTTTATCTAGTTTATAGTTTTCTTAATTATTTTACACACTCAAACTATTAACATACAATAATTAGATTAAATGTTACTTTCAAAAATATAATGAATTTTTTTAAGGAATACTGTTTTAATAATTTATACTGAATTACTTAAAATTATACAACTTCACTTAAAAGTTGTCTAATATCATACTTCTTACTACTTCAAATTGACCTCCATAGTTCAAATGAGTGAGAGCTAATGTCTGTTGTGAGACAGAGGCAATTGAGTGAATTTAAATTATGTGGTATATTTGTAAAAGAATTTTTAAGCTAAAGTATTTCAACACTCTAAACTTGTAAAACATCGTATATTTTGACGACTAGTTAGTGAACAGAAGCTCAAATCCCCTTATATACATATATCATATAAATGTCTATTTTCCAATATGATAAAGTTTTGTTAAAAAAAGCATATCCTCTGATAGATGCCAAAGATACTCTCCTTTAATTCATTTCTAAACATACATATTTATATATTTTGTATCTAACTCATTTATAATTATGCAACTCATACAAATATTTATTCAATCAAACCAAAAAACAAGTCATAAAAAAGGACAAACAAATAAAAATTATAGATGAAGACTAAAAGAAACCTCTTTTTAGTTGGAGGTAAGGATTTTCCTACTGTGATATTCAATGTTTTCATAATCAATTCAAGGTTATGCATAATACGATTCTTGCAGGAGTATAGACAAGCAAATGGATCTGAACCATAGACGATAGTTGATGAAAGTTAAGAATACATCCCTATTGGGACAGAGGCATCCATTTGTCTGGAATAAGGGAAGATTCTCCAGCATTTGGAAAATAAGACAGGAGAAAAGTAAATAGTAGCAGGAGTCCCTAATTAAACAGATTGATACTCAAATAGGATACTTCATTCTAAACCCAGTCCCTACAGGAGCATAAAGTAGCCCCCTCTTATCCACAGTTATGCTTTTCATAATTTCTATTACTCACTGTACAGTAGAATAAGATGTTTTGAGAGAGAGAGAGAGGAGAGAGAGACAGAGACCACATTCACATAACTTTTATTAGAGTATATTGTTACAATTGTTCCTTATGAGTTATTTGATATGATTTGGCTGTGTCTCCACCCAAATTTCACCTTGAATTATAGCTCCCATAATCCCCATGTGTCATGGGAGGGACCCGTTGGGTGGTGATTGAATCATGGGGGTGGGTTTGCCATGCTGTTCTCATTATAGTAAGTGAGTTCTTATGAGATCTGATGGTTTCATAAGGGGCAGTTCCTCTGTACACTCTCTTTTACCTGCTGCTGCCATGTGAAGAGGGACATGTTTGCTCCCACTTCTGCCATGATTATAGGTTTCCTGGGACTCCCCAGCCATAAAGAACTATGAGTCTATTAAACCTCTTTCCTATATAGATTACCTAGTCAAGGGTAATCTATTAGCAGTGTGAGAATGGACTAATACAGTAAATTGTTACCGGGTAGTGGGAAGCTGCTAAGGAATGCCCAAAATTTGGAAGCAACTTTGGAACTGGGTAATGGGCAGAGGTTGGAACAATTTAAAGGACTCAGAAGAAGAGAGAAAAATGTGGAAAAGTTTGGAACTTCCTAGAGACTTGTTGAATGGCATTGACCAAAATGCTGATAGTGATATGGACAATAAGGTCCAGGCTGAGGTGGCCTCAGATGGAGATGAGGAACTTGTTGGGAACTGAAGCAAAGCTGACTCTTGTTATGCAAAGAGACTGGTGGCATTTCACTCCTGCCAAAGAGATCTATGGAAGTTGAACTTGACAGAAATGATTTAAGGTATCCTATGAAAGAAATTTCTAAGTAGCAAAGCATTCAAGAGGAAGCAGAGCATAAAAGTTTGAAAACTTTGCAACCTGATGATGCAATAGAAAAGAAAAACCCACTTTTTGGGAAGAAATTCAAGCCTGCTGCAGAAATTTGCGTAAGTAATAAGGAGAGGAATGTTAAGCATCAAGACAATGGGGACAATATCTCCAGGGCATGTCAGAAACCTTCAAGGCAGCCCCTTCAATCACAGACCCTGAGGCCTAAAAGGGGAAAACAGTTTCCTGGGCCTGGTCCAGGGCCCCTTTGCTGTGTGCAGCCTAGAGACTTGATGCAATGCATTTAAGCCTCCCTAGCCATGGCTAAAAGGGGCCACAGTACAGCTCAGGCCATGGCTTCAGAGGGTGCAAGCCCCAAGCCTTGGAAGCTTCCATGTGGTGTTGAGCCTGCAGGTACACTGAAGTCAGGAATTGAGGTTTGGGAACCTCCACCTAGATTTCAGAGGATGTATGGAAATGCCTGGATGTCCAGGAAGAAGTTTGTTGCAGGGGCGAGGCCCTCATGGAGATCCTCTGCTAGGACAGGGTGGAAAGGAAATGTAGGTTTGGAGCTCCTACACAGAGTCTCCACTGGGGCACTTCCTAGTGGAGCTGTGAGAAGAGGGCCACCATCCTCCAGTCCCCAGAATGACAGATTTACCTACAGCTTGCACTGTGCACCTGGAAAAGCTGCAGACACTCCACATCATCCCATGAAGACAGCCAGGAGGGGGGCTATACCCTGCAAAGCCACAGAGGAAAAGCTTCCCAAGGCCATGGGAGACCACCTCTCACATAAATGTGCCCTGGATGGGAGGCATGAAGTCAAAGGAGATCATTTTGAAACCTTAAGCTTTAATGACTGCCCTATTAGATTTCAGACTTGCATGGGGCCTGTAGCCTCTTTGTTTTGGCTAATTTATCCCATTTGGAATGAATGTATTTACCCAATGCCTGTATCCCCATTATATCTAGGAAGTAACTAACTCGCTTTTGGTTTGACAGGCTCATAGGTGGAAGGACCTTGCCTTGTCTCAGATGAGACTTTGGACTTGGATTTTGAGTTGAGCTGAAATGAGTTGAGACTTTGGGGGACTATTGGGAAGGCATGATTGGTTTTGAAATGTGAGAATATAAGATTTGGGAGGGGCCAGTGGTGGAATGATATGCTTTGTCTGTGTCCCCAGCCAAATCTTGTCTTGAATTATAGCTCCCATAGTCACCACGTGTTGTGGGACAGACCCTGTGGGAGGTAACAAACATGTGCCTGTGCCTTTATGGTAAACTGATTTATTTTCTTTTAGGTATATACCCAATAATGGAATCGTTAGGTCAAATAGTACTTGTGTTTTAAATTATTTGAAAAATCACCAGACTTCTTTCCACAGTGGTTGAACTAATTTGCATTCCCACCAGCAGTGTATGAGTGTTCCCTTTTCTCCACAGCATCACCAGCATCTGTGTTTTTTTGACGTTTTAATAATAGCCATTCTGACTGTTGTGAGGCTGTATCTCATGTGGCTTTGATTTCCATTTCTATAATGATTAGTGATTTTGAGCATTTTTTTTTTTTGAGACGGAGTCTCGCTCTGTCCCCCAGGCTGGAGTGCAGTGGCATGATCTCGGCTCACTGCAAGCTCTGCCTCCCAGGTTCATGCCATACTCCTACCTCAGCCTCCCAAGTAGCTGGGATTACAGGTGCCCACGACCATGCCTGGCTAATTTCTTTTTGTATTTTTAGTAGAGATGGAGTTTCACCTTGTTAGCCAGGATAGTCTCAATCTCCTGAGCTCAGTGATCCACCCGCCTCGGCCTCCCAAAGTGATGGGATTACAGGTGTGAGCCACTGCGCCTGGCCGATTTTGAGCATTTTTTATAGGCTTGTTTGGCCACATGTATGTCTTCTTTTGCAAAGAGCCTCTTCATGTCTTTGCCTACTTTTTAGTGGAATTGTTTGCTTTTTGCTTGTTAATTTGTTTAAGTTCCTGATAGATTTTAAATATTAGACCTTTGTCAGATGCATATTTTGCAAATATTTTCTTCTAATCTATATGTTGTCTGTTTATCCTATTGATAGCTTCTTTTGTTATGCAGAAACACTTTAGTTTAATTAGGTTCCTTTTGTCTATTTTGTTTTTGTTGCAATTCCTCTTGATGTCTTTGTCATGAAGTCAGGTTCAATGTTCAGAATGATATTTCCTAGGTTACCTTCCAGGGTTTTTATAGTTTTAGGCTTTACTTTTAAGTCTTTAATCCATCATGAGTTGACTTCTGTATGTGGTGTAAGTATTTTTTATACCCATTCTCCATGACATATTTATTTCACATTGCATGCCTTTATCAAAATTTCTCATGTACCCCATAAACATGTATGCCTAATATGTTCCTACAAAAAATGAAAAGTTAAAGAAAAATTAAATAAGATATATTGTGTAAGGAAGGGGTCCAGCTTCAATAAACTCCATGACTAAAAAAAAACTTAAAAATTTTATAATAGTTTTAGGTTTATAGAAAAAAATGAAAAAACAGTACAGTTTCCATATATTACATATGTTTCATCTATTATTAACATTGTACTGTAGTATGCTACATTTGTCAAAATTAATGAACCAATATTGATAGATTATTATTGACTAACTACCATTGATTATTCAGATTGTTTTAGTTTCTGTCTAATGTCCTTTATCTGTTCTAGGATCATATCCAGGATACCACATCATGTTTATCATGTTTCCTTAGGTTCTACTTGACTATGACAATTTTTCAGATATTTCTGCTTTTTGATGACCTTGATTGTATTTAGGAATACTGGCTACGTAGTTTGTAGAATACCTCTCAATTAAGATTTGTATAATGTTTTTCTCATGATTAGACTAATGTTATGTGTTTTGGGGAAGACCACAAAAATAAAGTTTCATTATTATCAAAATGTTTCAAGGACACATACTTTCAACAATAGTTATCACTGTTGATGTTAACCTTGATCACAGGCTGAAGTAGTGTGTTTAAGATTTATCCATTGTGAACCTATGTTTCTTACCCACATTTTTACACTATAATCTTTAGAAGAAAGTAACCATGTTCAGCCCACACCTTAGAGTAGGGCATATTCTCCACCTCCCTGAGGTAGGAATATCCACAGTAATTTTTTCAGAAATTTTCTGCATGGGATATTTGTCTGTCTATACTATGTATTCATGTATTTTATCTTTACTTACATTAGTATGGATCCATGGATATTTATTTTATACATTGGGTTATAATGCAATACTACTTTATTTTGTTGTTCAAATTGTTTCAGCTTTGGTTATTGGGAAATAGTACAATCAGTGTCAGTGTCCTTTTGACATAATCCCTATCATGGTTTTTCAATGTATTTGTTTGTTTAGAGTATACAAGGTGTATGTTTTTTGGTAATACAAGGTGCCCCAGGCTCATCTTGTATAGTTTCTTTCTTAGTCATAGAATCAGTCATGTCTCCAAGGAGACCTGGTCTCTTTTATTGGAAGGTGGTATTAGGAACAATGATCTGAGCAGCAGGGGTGCTCACTGGGAATATCATTATTGATAAGAGTCAGCTGACAGAGCAAGGCAATATATGTGTGTATACTAACCAGTGTGTATACATGTCTCCATAAATACTTCTATATGTAACTATCTGTATTTATATGAACATGAGTTCATACTGATGTACCCAACTTAAATCTGTCATTCTAGTATTCTCCCTTGTTTATCTGTAACCTCCAACTCCAACAGTGAGAAATCTGTTTCCCACTCTCTGCCATTTTTTAACTTAATTGTTCAATTCTGGTATACATATATAGTGGCTTTAGAATTTTTAGCCCATACTCTTAGCTTTTTTAAAAAATTAATTGGCCGATTATCAAGGGACATATCTGAGAAAAATCTGCAGATTTTCAATCCACACATCACTGAATTGAAAGTTTTTTATGTAGACCTTAAATGTTGGAGTTATTTATATGCATTGGTGCATCAATAAATTTTTGTTTCTTTAAATAAAAATAAGGGTAAAAAAATCCTAGGTGGATCCTTCTAAAAATAAGAAAATCTGAAACATCTAATATCCTTGGTTCAATAAAGTATAGTTTTTAAAACTATATTCTACAGAATTCTTTTGTTAAAAGGAACAATGGTCACTTCAAATTTGCTTGGTTATAAAATAAATATTCTTGTCTTAAGCAACTGCAGGGAAGAAAGATGTCAAATCTATTTTCATAACAGAAGTTACAGCTACTTGTAAGCTGAGGTTCACATGCTTGGAAATTTTCACCAGAAAAGAGAAAAAAGTAACACTTATTATAATCCAGATTGAAATATTGTTGGGAAGGTCTTTGATGTTTCTGATTTAGAGTTTGTGTCAACCCTTTGGATCTAACATTGTAGCCATGACTGAAAAGTATTATTACTTGAGCAAACAAGAGTAGAAAAGCATCGCACTACATTAATTCCAATACAGAAGAGCAAAATTTTGTATAACTTCAATAGGGAAAAACTAATTATTATTTTCTTTGCAAAATGTGTAACTCAGCAATTTTTTGTTAAAATAGCATTAATCAAGAGCTAATATACCTAAAATATTGAACTGAATGTATTCTTTAATATGCAAATAGTGATTAGAAAGTTTAAAGACTAAAAATTAGGGAAATTTATAAATGTGAAAACGAATAGATTTGTCAGAAGGAACATGAATATTATAAAAGGAAGATAAAATAGAGTGAACTTGAAAATGATCTCTTTAATCCATACCTTGAGTATGTTGATGATGCTCTTGCTCAGCTTGAAAATAATTTAGGACCTAGAAAATAGAGTTGAAAAGTACAAAACATTATGTGAAAATAATTAGATCTGTTAGAATCTTTAAAGATCATGCCCATGTGCTTTAAGGTTTCAATAAGAAGTGATTCTCATGGCTGTCGTAGACTTTAGAGATGCTTCTCATAATCATATAAGTAACTGAATACATCGAGCAAAAGAAAAACCCCCAAAACAAACCTGATACACACAGTATATATACACACACAGCCCTTCTGTTATGATTATTGCTATGTGGTAATACTTAATCCTTATTCTCAACATCCCATGAAATAACCATAAAATACAAACCAGGGGCAAAGGGTCATCAGTGAAAAACAGCAAGAAAAGGAAAGGGACAGGCAGTAAGAGGTTGCCTCATTGATAATTATAAGACTAGGAAGGAATGAAAAGCAAGAAGCAATAAACAGGGTGGTTTATAGTATTTTATGATATTCACTGGAGACTTCTGGCAAGGGATGGAGTAACTGGCTTCAGCTTACTATGCAAAAAGTACTATGACCACCAGGCAGCAAGTAAGAACATAGGAAAATCTTTCCTCTGTCCAAGAGAGGCATATAAAGGAGACAGGAGCTTGAAATTGAGCTTGAGGTTGTTCATAGGAGTGCGTTCCTATTTATTACCTGAGAAGAGGTTTCTTATAGCACACTTATGGACAGTAAAAGGAAAAGCAAAGCAAACTTACTCACTGTTTGCTGGCAAAAACTATACTTGATTATATTTCCACATTCAAAAATAAATAGGATTAGAAAGGTTCTAGATTATACTGTCATATAAAAGAAAATGAATATTGCATTCAACATGCCAAGATAAAGAATGCACTCAAATTGCAAAGATGAAGAATCAATTTCAGGGGGAAAAGGATTACCAAAATCAGAGGAAAATTTTGGAAAGCACCTCATTCAATTTTCAATTAAATGCAAGAAAGAGTGTGTGATAAAGCAGGTATAAGATACAACAATTAGATAACAGATTTTATATAAAGAAATTAGTAGAAATTTAAACATATAAGAAAATAAGACAAACATGGAAATATTTTAAGGAGAATAAATTTCAATGACTAAACTAAATAATATTCATACACAGGGAGTTTAGAATTTATTCCATAGACAGCAAAATCAGTGACATGGTAAACAAATTAGGAAACCAAGTTGTTTAAAAGGAGAAGAAATGATTAGAAGAAAATGAAAGAAAGAAAAGAGGAAGCAAAGAGGGGAGGAAAGAAGGAAGGAGAGAATTCTGGAAAGAAGAAGGAATAAAGGAAGGGAGAGAGGGGATGGTTATAAACAGCTGTGTTCTCACCTATGCATAATTGAGATTTTGAAGATAATGTCAGAAGAAATATAGTGGACATCTTATGCCCTCTTCTTTCTTGGCTGTAGAATCATCAGGGTCATTATCATAGTTGATATTTACTGACCATTCTTCACATGCCAAGAACAATACTAAGCACTTTAAAGATCTGAACTTTCTTTTGAGAAGTGTCTGTTCATATCCTTCACCCACTTTTTGATGGGGTTGTTTGTTTTTTTCTTGTAAATTTGTTTGAGTTCATTGTAGATTCTGGATATTAGCCCTTTGTCAGATGAGTAGGTTGTGATAATTTTCTCCCATTCTGTAGGTTACCTGTTCACTCTGATGGTAGTTTCTTTTGCTGTGCAGAAGCTCTTTAGTTTAATTATATCCCATTTGTCAATTTTGGCTTTTGTTGCCATTGCTTTTGGTGTTTTAGACATGAAGTCCTTGCTCATGCCTATGTCCTGCATGGTATTGCCTAGGTTTTCTTCTAGGGTTTTTATGAGTTCATGTCCTTTGTAGGGACATGGATGAAACTGGAAACCATCATTCTCAGCAAACTATCGCAAGGACAAAAAACCAAACACCTCATGCTCTCACTCATAGATGGGAATTGAACAGTGAGAACACATGGACACAGGAAGGGGAACATCACACTCCAGGGACTGTTGTGGGGTGGGGGTAGTGGGGAGGGATAGCATTAGGAGATATACGTAATGTTAAATGATGAGTTAATGGGTGCAGCACACCAACATGGCACATGTGTACATATGTAACAAACCTGCACATTGTGCACATGTACCCTAAAACTTAAAGTATAATAATAATAAAATTTAAAAAAAAGATCTGAACTTTCAGTAGCATTCAACACATATAACTACTCCCCTTCTTCTAACACCATATCTCTTTTCCATCTTTTCTGTTGTTTCATGATCTCAAGTGATCTGAAATTTGTATCTCCAACACAGAATGCCAACTGTATTTCCAGAATGATATATCTTAATGTCTGTTAGAAATTTCCCTTTGAATATTTCACAGACATGTTAAACATTTTCAAAACTAAACTCATTTTCTCTCCCTAAACATGCTCATCCTTCACCATTTACTATCCCAGTAACTGGTCACTACAGTGATGTATGTGGGCTACTTATAGAAATAAATGATAAGAAAAAAATAAATAAAACACAAAAAAAGCCTATGCCACTCAGTATAAGCAGAAATATATTTTATGCCTCACAGGAAATATTATACCAACTTTCTCTTTCCTTTCTTTCTCTTACTTTCAACTGAAAAAATTATGCAAAAATATAGCCAGATTGCTTATGGCATTAGTGTGTACTGTACCTAGATAGTCATAAATATGACAACTATGAGATAAGTAAGCTCACAGCCTAGTATACTGACCAAACCCCAAAAAGGTTTAAACATTAATTCCAATCAAGATCTTCCTATATGATCAGGTTTAGATAATAATTTTAAAGATTTTGGGATTTAAGTAATTAGAAAAATATCACCTTTTATCATGAAGTAATATTTATTTAAAAGTGCCTTTTAACCAATCACATATAAAATAATATTCCTATGATGTTAGTCTGTTTTAATTTTGTTATTGATTTTAATACATAACATATTTATAGTGAAATGTTTTTGAAACAAAGTGAGATAATTTAGTTATTTTAAACAGTTCAGCTCTTAAAAGTATTCATTGAACAGTGATTTTTACTTAAATATTACATCTATGTGAAGCAGCAGAGATAAGAAAAAATAAAGTACTAAATGGTCCTGAGGGGCAGAGCTATTGAGGATCTCATCCTAAATTAAAGAAACATACTACAACGCTGTGTAGCTCACACAGTTCAGCTCTCTTTTATTTTACATCCTATCCTGGGTATGATTCTTATCTCAGCTTTGTAAAAATTAATCATCTTTTTAATTACATCCTACATTTAAAAGTATCTTGATTTTAGGAATCCCACAATTTCCATTTTAACTGAATGCTTATAATGCTGCAACATTCTTTGTAATAAAGTAATAAGCTCATAAAAAGAGATATCTATTGGGCACCTACCATGTTCCATACCCCACATTAAGCACAGCACTAGACAACAAAAAGGTGATCACGTCTCTATTGTTCCAATAGTCTAGAAGAAGATTTAAATATTGCCTGACTTAATGTCATTTAACAGATAATTATTGAGCATCTACTGTTTGCCAGGAACTGTTCCTGAATCTAGTACTAAAGTAGGCAGACAAAATTCCCATTGTCTTAGTCCATTCTGTGTTGCTATAAAAGAATACTTGTGTCTGGATAATTTATATAGAAAAAAGTTTATTGGACTCACAATTCTGATAGGTAGAAAAGTTCAAGATTAGGCATCTGCATTTGGTGAGGGCCTCAGGCTGCTTCCACTCATGGCAGAAAGTGAAGTGGAGCCTGAGTGTGCAGAGACCACACAGCCAGAGAGGAAGCAAATGAGAGATGGAGGAGATGCCAGGCTCTCTTTTAAACAACCAACTCTGGAGGCCACTTATAGAGTGCGAATTCACTCACCTTGAGGGAGGGCATTAATCTATTTAGGAGGGACCCACCTCCATGACCCAAAAACCTTCCATCAGACCCCACCACCAACACTGGGACCAAATTTCAATATGAGATTTGGAGGAAACAAATATCCAAACCATAGCACCTTCATCGTGGTACTTGCATTCATGAATACATACTCTCAAAAGGTATCTATAATGTGGAAGAGAGGTTCAGAGTACTGTCTGTATCATTGAGTAATAGTTTGGGAAATTGGAAAAATTTTCCTTAAAGAAATGAGAGTCTACTTAAAGGATGAGAGCATGAATTGGAAAGAGCAAGAAACATATGATGCCTTATTTCTATTCTAGACCAGAGGCTGGGATGTGGTAGATCTTCTAACATATGAGATTAATTAGTCGGTTAACTGTTGAAGGGTATGTAATATTAATTCAGTACAGATTGGCTTTTGTTAACCTAGCTGCTTAATCTTAATACACATTAACAAGTACTTTTTAATATTAGAATACAAAAAAAATCAACTAGTAAGACAGAAACTTGTACTTAAGTATTACAAAACTTATCACACCCAACAAAGATTAATGTAAATTATTTCAAGATTATTTGTTCTTTTTTTTTGAGATGGAATCTTGCTCTGTTGCCCAGGCTGGAGTGCAATGGCTTGTTCTCGGCTCACCACAACCTCCGCCTCCCAGGTTCAAGCAATTCTCCTGCCTCAGCCTCCTGAGTAGCTGGGATTACAGGAGCACACCACCATGCCTGGCTAATTTTTCGTATTTTTAGTAGAGAAATAGTTTCACCATGCTGGCCAGGCTGATCTCAAACTCCTGACTTTGTGATCTGCCCGCCTCAGCCTTCCAATATTTGTTATTTTAAATTATCTACACTATTCCAAGTGAGATACATGAATAAGTGAGACATGTGAATAAGAGTGACATATTGTAGTATTTGCTTCTTATCAGTTAATAAATATATAGAATATGGAGGAAGATTCAAATGACTTCTAGACTTCAGGGTAAAATGGTATTATTTAATCTGATCTCACCTTGGGAATCCTATTTACTCAGCTTTTGATCTTTTTTTTTTTTTTTTTTTTACCAAAAAGATGTATACAAAATGGTAATAGTGTCTAAATAGGGAACAGATATGTTATGTGAAAGTGATGATAAGATAGAAATAAAGAAATATATATTTCAGGATATAAACATGATATGATCAAAGAGATAAAAGCCCTGAATTTTTAAATCACCCAAATAAATTGATTTGAGGTATAAATAAAAGCTAAAACCTCATTAACAACATGTATTACTAGGCAATTGCCTATTCATTGCATTGCAAACACCAATATTTTGAGGAACAACTAAATTTTTGCCCCCAAAATGTTCTCTCTTTTCATGTATGTAGCTTTAGTCAAAAGGAAGATTTGATGAAAGTATGGGTAATTCTAATAAAAGGGAAAAAAAGATTAGTATTTGAGATGTGAACAAAAACTTAATCTTGCAAGACATCAAAGAGGCTAATAGCTCTGTAAGACTCTCCTACAATTCTCAAACTTTAGTCTTCACAGTAATCAGAATAAATAAAAACTGCATTCCTTGCTAAAAAATACATCTTTAAGAACTTGCTCATTGGAAAATGGAAAGAAAATATAGGAGAGAGAGTGGAAAAATGCCTGGGACTTGAGAACAGAACTCTCTAGCATTTCTTGACCAAAGATGTCATTCTAGGGGACCCTGTCTTTTCCTGAATATGGAACTCACCAGAGGAGAGCTTCTTCACCTGTATCTCAATTAATTTGCTTGCTCAGTGTGGAAAAATTTCCTCCTCCAAAATTCAAGACATCCTTTTTCTTCTTATTTATTTAAGCTCTGCCCATCAGATCTATGTTATTTGTTAAAAGCTTCTTGTCCTGTGGTCCTTGCTTATGAACTAAAGTTTGCTACTGTTCACTCCTCCCCATGGTAATGAGAAAAATATGTTCTGGGGTGCCAACATCTCTTGGTAAAATTAATCTGCAAACAATTGCAACTGAAATGATTTCACTCATAATAGTTTCCTAACCTGCTCTTTGCCATAACATTTTAACAAGGGTTAATAAAATAATTAACATGTTCAGGCAAATGTTTCCTGTCAGAGTCATCAGAAACTATTTTGAAAATAAGTTTTAGTTTTTGAACAATGAAAGACAGACATTTAATTCCAGGCTTTAGGAGATATGATTACATTAAGATTTTGATAAAATTTATGCATTGGGTCCATATTTTCTTCAAAAGAACACCTTTTCAATTTTTGACTTTGAGTATCTCAAATTCTCACAAAATATGTTTATAAACAAAGGTTGATCAGACATAATCAGGATTAAGTGAAAAATAAATCCCTGTCCTTAACATTTCATATGACTGATGCGTATATTAAAACACTGTAGGAATTCACAGGAGAGAATAATTCTGACTAATGTGATATGACCTATAGGAAAATATTAAAGAAGTACATTTTCAACTGTTCCTTAGAGGTGTAATATATATTTCTCTATACCGACACAAAAATTTTCAAGATTACCAAAACTGCTTTTATAAAATATTCTTCCTTTGACTGTATATCTTAATCAGTCACTCAAGGAAATTCCCAGAATTTCAGCAAGGATTTGCAGATGTTTATGCAGAACTGGCTGTCCCACTCATGGAGTCATAAAAGCAAGTTATAAAGGAATGGATCATAGATCTAGATAAGAAGTGATGATTATCCAAGCAGTCCACATTTTATACATGAGAACACTGAAAGTAAATGGCTTTCCAAAATCAGAGTCAGCCTGAGGTTATAAAGCCTCTCTAGGGTGGCCTAATTCTCAGGGTTCATTTACTGGAGCACAGAGCAATGTAAAGTCAAACATCCTCTACCTATGAGATCATAATTCTTAAATTTCCTTAACCACTATCTGAGTTGCGTTGAAATCAATCACATGAGTAGAAGTGTGCAGCTGTCCTCAGACAGTTCTCAATCTCTTGAATAAAACAAAAAATATTGGTATTATGATCATTTTCCCATGACAGCAAATTTGAAAGAACAACAACAAAATATTACCAGGAACACTGAAAATATCTAATAATGTATCAAGATCAGATATAGCAACCTTTCTTAAATTTTACATTTTGTAAACCTCCTGTCCTATGTACTTTGTAATAAATGAACATAATCTTTGGCAGAAAATAATTCTATCAAAGAATGTTTGTACTATTGATGCAGACAGTCTGTATCCTTCAGTTACTGCAATTGTTAATCATCATAACAATGGTGATTAAAGATCATTATTCAATAGTATTTTAAATGTCAATGAGAAGAGTCAAACTCTATAAAATACTTGAAGGATGTATTCTGAGCCAAATACGAGTGACCATGGCCCATGACACAGCTCTCAGGAAGTCCTGAGAACATGTGCCCAAGGTGGTTGGGGCGCAGCTTGGTTTTATACATTTTAGATAGGCATGAGACATCAGTCAAATACATCTAAGAAGTACATTGGCTTGGTTCAGAAAGGTGGGACAACTCAAAGCAGGGGCTGGGGAGGGGGGAATGCTTCCAGGCTATAGGTAAATTTAAATATTTTCTGGTTGACAGTTGGTTGAGTTGTCTAAAGACCTAGGATGGATAGAAAGGAAATATTCATGTTAAAATAAAAGATTGTGGACACCAAGGTTCTTTTGAAGTCTTATAGTGGCTGCCCTTAGAGACAGTAGATGACAAATGTTTTGTATTTGGATCTTTAAGGTGCTAGATTTTTAGTTAATCTCTTTAGGATTGAGAGGGCCCGAAGGAAAAAGATCTAGCTATGTTCATAGAGATTCTTCACAGATGCAAATTTTCCCCTACAAAGTATAGCTTTGCAGGGCATTTCAAGATATGGCAAAGATACATGTTTTGGGGTAAAATATTTTTATTTTCTTCCTTGTCTCGTAATGTTATGTCAGAGTCATGTTGGAAAGTAAGTCACAATATACAGGGTTACATAACCAACCTGATGAGAATTTATGATTTCTAGGACGTGACTCTCCAGACCCCTTAGGTAGGAATTTGGGCAAGATAAAAATCAGAGCTTAGTCCTCATAAACTATGCTACCCAAAATATTTTTCAATGTAATTTCCTAATGAAGACCCACAGCAATTTAAAACCTTTATTAACCTACAGCAATATAAAAAATAAATATTGAAACCAATGATATGTGCAATCAGAAGACCTAAACAAGATACATTTAGAAAGAAAGCAGTCCTAAGGAAGCATTAAAATAAATTATTTTCACTAATTCGATTATTCAAAAAGGAAAATCACTGAAATTGTAGAAAAGCAATAAGAAATAAAAATTTCAATTACATGTTTAGTGATAGCTATGTGCAAAAACTGTGCTAGACAATGAATCATATTTAAACACCTTCAAAATGACCACAGCAAGCAGTTGTTATTATCCTGATTTTATGAGTGAGAAAAATTAGGCCCCCAGCTGTTTATTACTCATGTATTCATTTATTCAAAAATAGCTTTTGGATATACGATAATCTCACTCCGACTTAAACTCTCTCACTGATTATTTGATAATAACAGGTCAGATATTCTTTAAAAAGTATATAGCTATTGAATGTCTGCTCTGCTATGTTTACTATTTTGTTTGGTGAACGAAGACATGGATAAGCCCCAAGGTCATGGAGTTTATAATCTACCAGAGGAGATAAGTAGTTAAAATAAATACATTTTCTTGGTTATCTAAAATTAACAGGTAAATTTAGATAGAGTAAGGAAATAGAGTAAGGAATGATGAGTAATAATATAAAATTTGGTGTTGCTACTTTAAACATGTGATCAGGTTGACAGTTATAATATGCTAGTATTTTAGTAGCAAACTACATCAAGTGAGGTAGAGAACCATGGTGATGACTGAGTGAGTGAATTTCAGAAAGAGGAAATACTGAGGGCTAAGATCTGATAGGCAGATTACCCAAAGTGACTCAGCTAGAAAATAGTTTGAATCCTCATCATCATGATTTCAGAGCCTGTCTTCTTACCCACTGCAGAATGCTAGAACATGTCTGGTTTCCCATGACCTCACCAACATTGTGCTATTTCAGACATTTTCAGTTTTAACAATTAAATAGCAAAAATAATGGTTTATGTTCTTTTCTATTTGCAACTTATTACTAGAAAAGTTAAACATGTTTTTATGAATATTTCTGTTATTTGTATTTATTTTTCTGTGAATTACCTATTCAGAGTTGTATTAGTCTGTTTTCATACTGCTGTAAAGAACTGCCGAAGACTGGGTAATCTATAAAGGAAAGAGGTTAAATTGAGTCACAGTTCAGCCTAGCTGGGGAGGCCTCAGAAAACTTACAATCATGGCAGAAGGGTAAGGGGAAGCAAGGAACCTTCTTCACAAGGTGACAGGAAGGAGAATGAATGCAGGAGGAACTACCAAACACTTACAAAATCATCAGATCTCGTGAGAACTCACTCACTATCACAAGAACAGCATGGGGGAAACTGCCCCCATGATTCAATTACCACCACATGGTTTCTAAATGTGGGGATTTGGGGGATTACAATTTAAGATGAGATTTTATGTGTGGACACAGCCAAACCATATCAAGAATCTTTGTTTATTTTCCTATTGGGTTGTTTACTTTAAACTTTCTACATACTAAGTTTGTGTAAAAGTAATAGTGGTTTTTGCTATCACTTCCAAAGGCAAAACCCACAATTTTTATGTTTTGCGTCAACATAATACATGTGCACACATACTTAAATATACACACATGCCTATCTATATAAGATATCAACACTTCAGCTAATTACTTGTATTAAAATATTTTATCAAAATTTTATTTATCACTTAGCTTTTTAATTGCTATATCATAGTCATAATTATTTTAGGATACATGTGATATTTTGGTACATGTATACAATGTGTAGTGATCAAATCAGGATAATGGGGACATCCGTAACCCCAAACATTAATTTTATCTTTGTGTTGAGAACATTACCATTCTTCTTGTCTATTTAAAAATATACAATAAATTGTGGTTAACTATACTTTTCCTACTATGTTATCAAATACTAGAACCTATTCCTTTTATCTAGCTGTATTTTTGTACCCATTGAACAAATTTTCTTCATCTCCCTCCTCCTCTCTTTTATTTCCAGCCTCTGGTAACCACCATTCTGCTCTTTGCCTATTGAAATACACTTTTTAGCTCCCACAAATGAGTGAGAAGTGCAATATTTATTTTTCTGTGCCTGGCTTATTTCACTTATTATAATGAACTCCAGTTCCATTCATGCTGCCGCAAATGACAGAATTCCATTCTTTTTTTATGGATGAATAACACTTAGCTTTTTTATGGGGTCTTATATAGATGTTCTAAATTTACAAGTGAATACATATTTCAAATTTTTTCAAGGTTTAATTTGAACAACTAAAAATTCTGACATAAAATATGGATTTCCCCACACCATTTCAAAATGAAATTTTCCCTTGTTGTCTGTTATCTTCTGTTCCTTCCAGCCATGATAATGACATTTAAGATCTTCATTCTCAATTGGACTGTTGTGGAAGACCCCAACCATAATTGCAATTTAATCTTTTCTAAACTCATCAGCATAATGATAAAGGTGCTCTGCATTTGATGTCAAAATACCTCTTCACTGAAACTACCCTCTGTGCTGCCAGTGTATTAATATACTAATCACAAAACACCTGCCATTCACTGCTTTCCATGCTTATTTATATTGTACTGTTTTACCTCCTACTCCCTGTTTCTTCATTACTCCTTGTTGGATAGACCTGAACTTCATTACAGGTCACACATAAACAACAATCCCTGCACAAAGATGTTCTGATGCCTTTCTTGAAAGGAATGCCTCAACATGTGTGGCATTTTAGAATACCTGGGCGTTTTATCATACGTTGTGACTAAGTTGTTGGTAAAAAAAAATTCACCTACTAGCTAATTTTAGGAAGCATCTGCATGATGGTACCTATCCCAGCATGTGGGAGATGCTCAAGTGGAGTTTTGAACTAACACACTCTGCAGTGTAAGGAAGGTAGATGATCAAACTGACTGGACTTCTTTCTCTGTGTATTAACACTTTCAGTTATTTATTCTTGTTCTAATTAAATATTCAGATGTGAGGAGTACTTATTAGTCCTGGTTAGTTTATTGAGTGACAGACAGGAGATAGATAAGAATATTTCTGCCCAGAGGAGAAAGGTAGTCAATAAATTAATCAATTTAAGTCATGATAAAATGGGCCACAAACTATCCATTCATTTATGTGTTCTAAAAATCAATGATTTTAATGGCACCACTGAAATGAGTCACATGGTCTTTATAAAATAAATTTGTTACTACATTTTGGATACCATCATGGGCTAAACAGACTATCATCAGAGACCTCTTTTAATATATAATCATAGATTTAACAATAAATTTCTTAGGTAAAAATGCACTTATTTCTAATGTTAGATCATTCTTACATGCTGTCCCTTCTACTCACTTTCCCTCTCTCTTTAGCCCATTAATATGTTTTTTTTTTTCCATTCTGGCAGAAAAATCTAAGCACAGGATGACAATAAAATGTTATGAAACCTGTACAATTTCTTAAAAATTTTATTAAAGAAAATATAAATAGTTAAATAAAAGCCATGTTTACACTGAAATAAAATAAAGGATGGGAAAAGGTAGTATCTAAGTTTTCTACTTATTGGCAATCCTATAAGTTATAGTTTTTGAAATATTTAAAAGAAAGCAATAAAATTGGCAGCAATTCATATAAAAATTAAGAACATAGATAATAAAATTAGACATCAAATTTTATATTACAACTTTACCTCATATGCTGAGTGGTAATGAATATGTGCATTTTTTATTGTCATAAAGTTGCTCATCTTAAACCTTTATAATTCATTTAATGTCTTTAGCCATATCCCCTCTATTATTTCTGAATCAGTCATTTATATTTTCTCTTTTATTCTTTATTGATACACAAAGATGGATCAATTTTCTTATTCAATTCAAAGCATCAATTTTTATTTTATTGACATTTCTATATTTTTTCTCTTTCATTGACTTTAATTTTATTATTATATTTTCTTTTCATCTACTTACATTAGACATAATTTGGTCTTATATTTTGGGTTTCTGAGGAGAGCAACTTAGATTATAATATTAGACCTTTTTTTTCCAGTATAATAATTCAAAGCTAAAATTGTATAGCAAACCACTATACTCCACAATTATTAATAAGTTGCCTTTTAATTTTATTTAGTTCAAAGTATTTTAAAATGTCCCATGCTATTTCTTTTATTTTATATTTTATTTGGAAGTATGTTAACATCCCAATACTAGAGATTTTCCAAATATCTTTATGAAATGAATTTCATTATTATAAGAGAACATGTTGTATGCAAGATCAAACTTTTGTATTGAAACTCACCTGATTACTAATTATTATCTCTCTTGGTGAATGTACCATGTGCACTTGAAAATAATATTTGTTCTGCAGTTGTTGCATGTTCTATAAATGTCAATTAAAGCAAGTTAACTGACTATGTTAAGTCTTCTATATCATTATTACCTATAGACAATGAATTACTGAGGAGTGTTTAATATCCCCACCTAAAATTGTAAATTTGTCTGTTGTATTTTCAATTCGGTCATTTTTTTTAACTTTATATATTTAGAAACTCTGTTACAAATGTTATAAACATTTAGGATTATTATATCTTCTTGATAAATAATTAACCTATTATTATGAAATTTCCTTTATAATCTGTGATATTATGTTTAGAGTCTCTTTTTCCAGGCATTAATACAGCTATCCAGTTTATTATGAATAATTTTGTACTATTATATCATCTTGCTTTCTTTTTACTTTAGCCTATATTAATCTCTAAATTAAAATGAGATTCTTTTAGACAGCACAAAGTCAAATTTTCTTTTCGAAAAGCTCTTCTAATTAGAATATTTGTTTCATTTACACTTAATGTAGTGTATGGTTGGATTTTAAAGAATCATCTGGTTATTTGTTTTCTATCTGCTGATTTTCCTTTTTCCCCTATTTTTTGTTTTCTTTAGACAAAAATATTGAGTATATTGTTTTATCTCCAATTGCCTGTTAACCTCCTACTAAATTTTAAATTTTAGTGGCTGCTCTTGGGTTAATAATGTCTGTCTTCTCTCATTATAATCTGACTTCAAATAGTAACATAGCTCTTCCTATATAAGAACTTATACTTTCATTTATTCCCTTTTATACTTGTATAAATTGTATTTTATATTTTAGTTCTACACATGTTATATATCCAACAATACATTATTATTTTTCCTTCAATTTTTCTTCAAATAAAATTTTTAAAAATCTCCTTCATTCTTAACTTCAAATATCCCATATTTGGAGCTATTTTTTTCCAAGATTCCATCTGGTGTTATTTTTCTTCTGCTAGAAGAACTTCCTTTAACATTTGCATAGTGCAGATTTATTGGCACTAAGTTTTCTTATAGTTTCACCAGTCATATTTGAATTGACTAAGGTTTTTCTTCAGTAGTTTTCCCCAGATAGAAAGTTTGCATGCTCAAAACTATCCAACTAAAACATTTGTTTTTGAGGACTGTTAAGTTTGTCCTTGGCTTACACTGTCTTTTTTTCAGGATCTTGTAACTATCACTCCATTGTCATCTGTTCTTGACTATTATGGAGTGACTAGAGCCTGACGCCATTTTCCCTTTAAAAGTGACTATAGGAATTTTTTTTTAAGTTTTAAGTTCTGCAACTTAAGTAATGTATATTCCAGTGTTGACAAATGTGGGTAAATATTTCCTGGTATAGTGGATGCTCTTTGGAGGAGTTTTGTGGCATCTTTAATTTTAGAAAATGTTCCTAAATTATAATTATTTATTATAATAGTTGAATTCCACTTCAGAAACTCCAGCTATACATATATTTAATCAAATTTGTGCTTTGTTTCTATTATTTTTTCTTAATTGTTTTAAAAAAGTATTTATTTCCAACACATTTTGTTTACTTGTCTCATTTCCAGCTTCTGAATCTCTTATTATCCTTTCTTAATATTTTTTCAACTATGTTTTCTTCAATTTTACTTTCTTTCTGTGGCAATTTTACATTTTCTTTTTTTTTCAGAATGGAGTTCTGTGAGCTCAATTTCAGCTATCTGCTGTCTTCAAACTCATATAAGTTCTTAGATTTCTGCTTTGTATTCTTACTTTTTATAATTAATTGCTTTATATTTCACTAAAAAAACCCCTGTGATTTCAATTGTCCTTTCTTACATGACATTTATGTGGTGAGCAGTTTCTTGTCTGTTACTAATCATGTTCTTCTGCTTTCTTTATTCATATGACACTCTTATATTGATATTTAATTGGCTCCTCTCAATTATTCATTATTGAAAGGACTGGGTTTCCTAGAGAAGCTATTTCTTGCAGAGTCTTGTGATAGAGTAAGGGGCAAGGAAGTATTTCAGGCTAATTGGTGTTCATAAGCAAAGGACCTCTTCTTTCCAGCTGCTGAACAGATAGGTTGCAGTCTAAAAATATGGCTTGCTTATGTCATTCTTTGTATAGTATGAACCTCTATGCATTTGTAAAATATAACAGCTCTAGGGATCCACTTCCTATATCCATTTTGTAGACACAACACATAGCTTTTACACTGTGCTGCTTCACCTTCAGGGAATATAGTCTTGTTAATTCGTTAGAGACCTGTTAGCACTGGTCTTTCTCCGCAGCTGCTCTCTGCTTCCTACCATACATCTCCTGTAGAAACTCGACTTGGAATCCATCTCTAGTTTTGCCAACCTTTGAATCTGCATATTTTTTTCTAAATTACTAGGAACATAAGGGGGAAAGGCTGATTTTAAGCTGTCATGTATAGATTAGAATTATGCCTTTTAAAATTTTTGTTACCATGGGATCTTATTATATTACAAAATAATTAAGAACAATTTAAAATCTGAAAAACTGCTGAAATTCCGCAGTGTATTTTTGCTGATTCTTTCATCTTTTGACCTTTCATCATATGCTTGTTTAAAAAAATGTCTGAATTATGTCACCAAATGTAGTGGTATCAAAGTGCCAGCAGCTCACAGAACTAATTATGAAATCTTAAGACTGAAGTCAAAAGTTCTGTACTATCACCAGCATTGCAGGTTGTCTTCTTGTATTGTACTATTTTTTTCAGGCACATTTCAGGATGGGATGTTACTGTAAAGTTGTTAGTGAGTTTTTCCTTTTTGTTTTCAAAATCCCCACAGCACATTTATATCCATTTGAGTATTACACAACGGCTGCTGAATGCCAAATGTTTCAGAAGCCTTATTTTTTATTTTAGAAATGTTTGAAGATGGGGCTATGGGAGACTGGTTTGGTTTGGGTAGTGAGGGCTTTCTCCCAGGCTTGCAAAGGGAAGACCACCTTATTGCTGTGTCCTCACAGGGCAAAGACAGAGGAAGAAGGCAAGCTGTGTGGTGTCTCTTCTTATAAGGGCACTAATCCCAGCTTGGGGGCTCCAGCCTCACTGCCTCACCTAAACTTAATTACTTCCCAATGGCCCCAGCTCCAAATACAATCATAGTAGGAGTAAGGGCTTCAACATATAAATTTAGGGTGAAACACAATTCAGTCCACAGCACATAATGAGGTAGAGAGTCTGTGGACATCACTTCATAAAACAGATTGGCTAAAAGAAATACATTTGAGAGTTCCTAGTTCAAAGCTCCTATGTGGGAACAATTTGTTAACTAATGTAAATTCTAATTCTTATGAACCAAATCTGCATAATTTGAAGGCATTTGAAAAATATCTATATTAACATGCTTTAAGTCTTATAATAATCCTTTATCTTTTCTCCTTCTTTCCACATATGCATATTCATATATCCCCTCTGAAAACATATTTCCCATTGAAGTCATATTTCAAATTCAAGTTTGTCTTTGTGCATCAGATTTAAAAGATACATCAGTGACTGGGTCATAGATTTGGAATGGCAATTGCATGCATCTCATTTCCACGATGATTAACAGAGTCCAGTTCCCAGCCCATTAAATATAACTTACATTCAGCTGCGGAAACCAGAGCTACATTTCAGTTAACTGTAGTTCTGCCAGAAAGAACATAAATGTGGTAGTCCCTAGTAAGACTTGACTAGTTAAAACACTTGATAATACTACTTTTTCTTACTTTTCTCATATCTACCCTACCACCTTCTCACTGTGCACATTAGCCTCTTCAGTTAACATGCTATGCCGTGAGCCTCAAAGGTTGATAACCAAGATAAAATATGGCCATGGCCTTCATTTCCCTGCAAGTTGACTTAGTGTAGATTCTTTGTCCACCAGCTTTTCCCTGTTTAATTACTAAGTGGCAAGACATTTAGGTGGTTTTGTTTTCCATTTGAAAGTTATCGTGATTCATAAGAAATGATGAAATACTCCTTTGGGCCAGGATAAGGGGAACTCATAATTTTTACATAGTCCATCCAAGTTTACCACAATAATAAGGAAATTATTTCTGGTTGTAATTGGTGATGCCAGAGGCATAAATTTGAACTAGAAACCTGATTTCCTTTGGAGAAAAAAAAAAAAAAAGATTGATTTTGGGTGGGAGAGGGAAGGGAGAATGCAGGAAGGTAATTAGAGGTTCTTAACTGAGTGAAATGATACAGTACTGGAGAGGTTTGTTTATCTAACTAGATTCCAAAGGTTGAAACTCCACATACTTCTAAACTTTAAAGCTTCAAATTCAGCATATTTTCAAAGCAGCCCAGAGGCATTAAAAATGTTTCATATCTATCCAGTTTAATGATCTCAGTATACACCTAATGTTTTACAGGGAAATGTCATGTAACTTATTGCACAATAACAATAACTTTGTGAAGTAACTTGTTCCCATTTTATAACTAAGCTCAAAGATGTAAAGAGGGCAATTACAGATTTCTACATGGATCATGTGATCAACTCCAATTCCTGATAACTGTATCTTACTCACTTGCCTGATTTTCTGTTCACTCATTCTTGTTTTTACCATGATTCCCATTCAATTACTCCTGCTTAGCTCACATAGAGATGTTAGAAATAATGTATTCCAAACCTCATTTATGTTATAAATGATGAAACTAAACTCCAATGTTATACTTAATGGCCTAAGGGTACACAACCAGTTAGTAACAGATTTGAGAACAAAACACAGGAGTGACATGATGCCTGGTTCAGTAGTGTCTTCCACTGTGTGTTTGTCTCTCTTTCTGTGTGTGTGCGTGTGTGTGTGTGTGTGTGTGTGTGTGTGTGTGTGTGTGTTCATCTTGGTCAATTGAGAGACCATCCTGGGAAGATAATAAAGAATGATCCACTTCATTGTGCAATTACTCTGTACAATAAGTAAAAATATTTCTTGAAATCTATAAACAAGAAATCATTTTTTCCCACTTCAATTCTCTACTTTCTTCGGGTAAAATCTTGTTTATGGTTTTTGGATTTTGAATAAGAATCTTACTTGTTCTTATCAGGAGTGGTTCAATTTATGAGAAGTTTCTGTCTTTATGCAGGCTTCATTCTACTGAAAAGTCAACGGGTCCTGACGGTGACAGTTTTGCAACATAAAGGGTGCATTCTTCAGCCTCCATTTTTAAAAGATTTATCATTGATATGGTTTGAATATGTGTCCCCACCCAAATCTCATGTTGAATTGTAATTCCCAGTGTTGGAGGTGGGGACTGGTGGCAGGTGATTGGATCATGGGAGTGGTTTCTCATGAATGGGTTAGCACCATCCCCTTGGTGTTGCTCTCATGAAAATGAGTGAGTTCTCTTGAGATCTGGTTGTTTAAAAGTGTGCAGCACCTTCCCACTGTCTCTCTCGCTCCTTCTCCTGCTATGAGGAGTATTGCTTTGCCTTCCCTTTCTTCCATGATTGGAAACTTCCTGAGGACTCCCCAGAAGCAGAAGCTGCCATACTTCCTGTAAAGCCTGCAGAACTATGAGCCAATTAAACCTTTTTTTCTTTATAAATTACCCAGTCTCAGGTATTTCTTTACAGTAGTGTGAGAACTGACGAATACAGTCATGAACTACTCAAAATAGGAAGCTGAATTTTTTAGAGCAGTGCTCAAAAGTGAAGGGAAAATTTCTCCTTAGGATGTGTGTATTTTATATTTCTCTTAAGATTTCTTCCTGTTTCATTTTCAACTCAACAAAATACTGCCTAATTTATATGGTGTGTCAAAGTGGGCTGGTGGTGATGATCTGTCCTGCATATAGATAAGAAGGCAATGCATTATTTGTAGAGAATATAAACAATAATAAAATTGCCTATGATCAGTATGATTTGTATTAACACCATGAACTGGCAATTTGGAACAATTACAGTGATAAAATACACCCCTGTACTAGGGTGAGCAATTTCTGCTATTTGTGCTCCCCTCAATACACCACTGCCTAAGAAATAATTCATCAGTTTTTATGTAGATGCACCTCAACCATTTTAGTTACATGAAGCTTGTTTTTGTCTAGCAAATTCATGGGAAAGTCTCCTGGAAATAGTATTCTCTGAGTTCTTCCACTTTCAAACATGTTTGTTTTCATGGCCTTCTAATTAAAGATAAGTTTGGCTAGGTATAAAAATCTTTTACTCACATTTTTTCGCATATTATTACTTTATGGAATAGAGAGTTGCTGTTAGAACCTTATGATAATCTGAACATCTTAGACGTTTTTGCTTGGATACACAATGATTTTTATTTTTTCGATGTCTGTAATTTTTATTTTTATGTTTTTCAAGTAATACATTAGTTTTTGAGCAGTTTTAAGCTAACAGAAAAATTGAGAGGAAAGTACAGAGAACGCCCGTCTACCCTTTCACAGACTCCCTCCTTATTTTCTGTTTTGTTAACATCTTGCAGTGTTACAGTTGTTATAATTGAACAAATATTGATAAATTATTTTCACACTAAAGACTGTAGCTCACATTAGACTTCACTCTTGATGGGTTTGTCCATACCAAAAGCATACATCAACCACTGCAGCATCATATAAAAGAGTGTCTCTGTCCTAATAACCCTCTGTGCTCTGTGTATTCATCCCTCTCTCCCCTCTAACTCCCGGAAAAATTGATTATGACAACCACTGATCTTTTTGCTGTGTCCATAGTTTTGCCTTTTTCAGAATGTCATGTAGTTGGAATCATTCAGTATGTAGCCTTTTCAGATTGACTTCTTTCATTTAGCATTATGCATTTAAGTTTTCTCCATGTCTTTCCTGCTGTGGAGACTAAAGTAACTTCATCTTGAATGCTAATCAGCTGTGTTAAACTCTGACTAGCCCCAGTCCCATGAATGCCGCCTGATTCCTACTTTATTTACTGTGCTAGTGTAAGAACAAAGTAACCTCGAATTTACTGCAAAATTATAGGCCATGACAAACATAGTATTCTTGCCTGTTCTGGAGAGTGCCTTTAATTGTCATGCTAGAGTACATATATCCTTTCCTTATGGTATATAAGCCCTGGGTCTGGGAAGTAACAGTGCAGAGATCTACTTGTCTTACGGCTCCTCTATACCATGCTTCTGCCTGCAATTTCACTTAATAAATCAACCAATACCAAACAACTGGATTCATCTGCCTTCTTCTTTGGTATCTTGGCACCTTTGGCATTAGGGGTCACTTTGCATATATGGTCCTTTCCTGTTACACATATCTTCATCTTTCATTTCTTTTTGTGATAGATATATTCCATTGTCTGGTTGTATTACAGATTATGTATCCATTCACTGACTGAAAGATATCTTGGTTTTATCCAGGTTCAGGCAAATATGAGTAAAGCTGCTGTAAATATTTGTGTGCAGACGTTTGTGTGGACGTAAGTTTTTAACTGATTTGCATAAATACAAAAAAAGCTCACTTGTTGGATCAAATGATAAGATGTTTACTTTTGTAAGAAATTGCCAAACTTTCTTCCAAATTAGCTATACCATTTTGCATTCCCACCAACAATGAAACAGAGCTCCTGTCGTTACACATCATCACCAGCAGTTCAGGTTGTCAGTGTTTTGGATTTTGACCATTCCAATAGGTTCACTGTGGTATTTCATTGTTGTTTTGGTTTGCAATTCCCTAATGACACATGGCCTTGAGCATCTTCTCATATGCTTGCTAGAGATTTATATAATTTCTTTGGCAAGGTTTTTGTTCAGATTTTTTTTTTTTTTGATAGAGTCTCACTCTGTCACCAGGCTGCAGTGCAGTTGGCAAGATCTCGGCTCACTGCAATCTCTGCCTCCCAGCCCTCAGCCTCTCAAGTAGCTGGGATTACAGGTGCATGCCACCACACCCAGATAATTTTTGAATTTTTAGGAGAGACGTGATTTCACCATGTTGGCCAATATGGTCTGAATCTCCTGACCTCGTGATCTGCCCCCCTCAGCCTCCCAAAGTGCTGGGATTACAGAAGTGAGCCACTGCCCCCAGCCCAGATCTTTTGTCTGTTTAAAGTTGGTTTTTTTTCTTATTGTTTATTTTTAAGATTTCTTTGTATATTTTGTATAACTCTCCTTTATCAGATATGTGTTTTGCAAAGATCTTCTCTGAGTCTGTGGCTTGTCTTTTTATTATCTTAAGGGTATCTTTTTTGGAACAGAAGTTTTAATTTTAATGAAGTCTAACTTGTCAATTTCTCATTCATGGTTTGAGCTTTTTACGTTGTATCTGAAAATGCAGTAGCAAACCCAAGGTCACAGATTTTTTCCATATTATCATCTAGAAGCTTTTTAGCTTTGCATTTTACATTTGAGTATTTGAAGAATTTTGAGTTATTTTTGTGAAAGGTATAACATCTGTGTCTATATTTTTTATTTTGCATGTGGATATTCTGTTTTTCTGGCATCACTTGTTGAAAAAAATCCTCATTTCTTCATTGAATTGCCTGTACTCTATTGTCTATGATGAGTTAACTGTATTTGTGTGATTTCATTTCTGGGCTCTTTGTTCTCTTCTATTGATCTGTTTGCCTGTTGTTTCACTAATATCATTCTGTCTTGATTTTTGCAGATTTATAGTAGGTTTTAAAATTGAGTAATGTCAATTCTTTCCTTTTGTTTTTCTTCAATATGGGGTAAGCTATTCTAGGTCTTTTATTTCCACATAAACTTTATTTATTTATTTGTTGAGACAGAGTCTTACTTTTTTGCCCAGGCTGGAATGTGATGACTTGATCTTAGCTCACTGCAACCTCAACCTTCTGGGTTGAAGCAATTCTCCTGCCTCAGCCTCCCAAGTAGCTGGGACTGCAGGCATGCACCACCATGCCTGGTTAATTTTTGTATTTTTAGTAGAGATGGGATTTCTCCATGTTGGCCAGGCTGGTCTTGAACTCCTGACCTCAGGTGATCCCCCTGCCTGGGCCTCCCAAAGTGCTGGGATTACAGGCATGAGCCACCGTGCCGTACTCCATATAAACTTTAGAATTAGCTTCTCTATAGTCACAAAATACCTTGCTGAAATTTGTATGGGGATTGCCTTGAGTCTGCCTTCCTGTAGTTGGGAAGAACTGATAATGACAAAATTGAGTCTTCCTGGCCATGTACAGAAATATATCTCCCTATTTATTTGTATCTTCAATTTTTTTAAAATGTCTAATTATTTTACTTTCAAAAGTTTCAGAATATTTTAGTTATACAGTCTGTATTTTAAATATTCAGATTATTTAGTGCTTATTTTTGTTATTTTAAGAAAATTTCACTGAGCAATAGTTTTAGTATGAGTCTGTTCTAATGTTTTGGTTTTATCTTTTGGGGACTTTTATTAAATATATATTAGATTATTTTGTCAGTCTTCCATAGTATCGCTTTATCTTGAATACATTTTTATACCTCTCATTTATTTTTATTTATTTATTTGTTTATTTTATTTATTTATTTATTTGAGACAGTGTTTCATGCCTGTCACCCAGGTTGGAGTGCAGTTATGTGATCTCAGCTCACTGCAACCTCTGCCTCCCAGGTTTAAGCGATTCTCCCGTCTCAGCCTCCCGAGTAGCTGGAATTACTGGAGTGTGCCATTACGCCCAGCTAATTTTTGTGTTTTTAGTAGAGATGGGGTTTCAGCGTGTTCACCAGGCTGGTCTCGAACTCCTGGGTTCAAGCTATCCACGTACCTCAGCCTCCCAAAGTGCAGCGTGAGCCACCACACCTAGCCTCCTCTCATTTATTTTTAAACTTTAAAAATTATTCTTTCTATCTCAGGTAACTATTGAAACAGTGTCCATTATGTTTATTTGCTCCTGTATTATGTTTTTTCTAGCTTTTTCTTGACTTCTTAAAATTTTGTTCTTTCCTTTTTTTCTTTATTTGTGTACCCCCTCTTTTCAAGTCATCATTTAGACCAATGATCTCATTTTTAATTTGTAAAAATAATTCTGATTTGTGTGATTTTCTCTTGGCTCTCATCTTCTTAATATCAATTGCTCATTTAAAAATTTAGGTTACCATTTTTAATATTATGTGAGTTTCTTTTGTAAAAGTGTTTTCATTTTGATATGTTACACCTAGTGTTTGTATATAGATTCTGATTGTAATACTTTTCTTAAAAATTTTAAGTGAAATAAATTTTTCTGTACCTTTAGAAACATGGGAAGGGGCAAGACAATTTTTTTATCTCTGTTGCTCTAAAATCCTCTTCTATAGTTTTCATTAAATGATCAAAAACAGAAAAAAAAATTCTCCCTGCTTCCTGAGATCTGCCTTCTCTGCATCCTTTCTCACTTTTGTCTTCATCTTGTATTTCCTTTATTCTGGATATTTCACATCATTCTCCTTTCAGTGTTGAGCACTATTCTGGAAGAAAGCTTCAGACTGTGAGTTTCAAAAGTGCACAGAGCACAGCGGGCTTTCTAAACTTACTAGGATCCCCTTCCATTCCATTTGCCAGCTGGATTCTCATGACCCCCAGCCATTATTGTGAGCCAGTTCTCAGAGATGTCCGTGCACACTTAGCAAAAGAGGGCTTCTCTTCTCACACCCATTAGACACCTCATGTTCACAGCACGTAGGGCTTGTAACTGCCGTGCTCTGCCCTGCCTACTCACATATTGTCATCAAGTTTTGTCAGAGATACTGTCTTTTGAGTTTTTGGTTTTGCTATATTCCTTGCAATGCCTATTTTAATTTTAAGAAGTTTCAGAAACTGCCACCCTTGCCACCATCTTCCCGGTATTCATCTATATACTACAATATTTTCCAAATGCTAATGGCTCAAACTGGATTGCCCCTCTCACTAATTTGCACTCTTTTCTCAGGATACAACATTTGTTCATTCACTCATTCAATGAATATTTCTTGAGTGTCAGGCATTTTTAGCCACAGTAGATGTAGAAGAAAGCAAGATTTGTAAAGCTTACATTCTCACTGTCAAGAAAATAATTAAGCACCAACATAATATGTCAGATAGTGATAAAAACTATGAAGAAAACTATAAAATTGGGAATTCGGAATTAAGAATACAGGAAGAAAGGAAGCTTCTTATTTCAAATTGAACATGCAGGATAGACATCTTTAAAGTTTTACATGTAAACAGGGGCTTGAAAAAAATAAAAGAATGAGTCCTGTGGCAACTTGGGTGCATAGTGAATATAAATTCCAGAATGAAAAAAAAAGCAATCCCAAAGTCCTCAGGGCTGTTGCATTCTTGAGGTGCAGTGAAACTGCAAAAACTCCAGTGTGGATGAAGAGGAGCGTGCGAGAATCAGAGTGGTGGGAGAAAAGCCCATAGATGCCATCTGTAAACTAGGCAGGGTCTCATGAGTCACTGCAAAGATTTGGGATCCTTTTCTGAAGGAGGTGGGAAGCTACTGTACAAATTTCCTGGATTCCAAACAGGATTTGGTTTATGTATTAAAAAAAAAAATTGTCAGTTTTGAAGACTACATTTTAATAAGCAAGGGCAGAAGCGACGTGGAACAGGGAGGCCAGTTACCAATCTACAGCAATAATCTGGAGATGATAAAGCTTAGAGGAAGGTAGAAGGTGATTACAGAAGAGATAGCAAGTGGCAAGACAAAATATGTTTTTAAACTAGCTAGCTAAGGTTTAAGACAATGATCTTTGATATTGTTTGGCTGTTTCCACACCCAAATCTCATCTTGCATTGTAGCTCCCACAATTTCCATGTGTCATGGGTGGAACACAGTGGGAGATAATTGAATCATGGGGGCATGTCTTTCTCATGGTATTCTCATGAGAGTGAATAAGTCTCTTGAGATCTGATGGTTTATAAAGGGAAGTTTCCCTGCACAAGTTCTCTTCTCTTGTGTGCCGCCATAGGAGACGTGGTTTTCACCTTCTGCCATGACCGTGAGACCTCTCCAACCATGTGGAACTGTAAATCCAATAAACCTCTTTCTTTTGTAAATTGCCCGTTTTTGGGTACGTATCAGCAGAGTGAAAACAAACTAATACAATAAATTGGTACCAGGGGTGAAGTACCACTGAAAAGATACCCAAACATGTAGAAGCAACTTTGGAACTAGGTAACAGGCAGAGATTGGAACAGTTTGGGTGGCTCAGAAGAAGAGAGAAAAATGTGGGAAAGTTTGGAACTTCCTAGAAACCTGTTGAATGGATTTGCACAAAATGCTGATAGTGATATTGACATAAAGTCCAGGCTGAAATGGTCTCAGATGGAAATGAGGAACTTGTTAGGAACTGGAGCAAAGATGACTCTTGTTATGTTTCAGCAAAGAGACTGGCAGCATTTTGTCCCACCCTGGAGATTTGTGGAACTTTGAACTTGAGAGAGATAACTTAGGGTATCTGGTAGAAGAAATTTTGAAGCAGCAAAGCATTCAAGATGTGACCTGGGTGCTGTTAAAGGCATTCAGATTTATGAGGGAAGCAAAGCATAAAAGTCCAAAAAATTTGAAGCCTGATAATCCAATATAAAATAAAATCAAATTTTTTTGAAGAGAAATTCAAGCCAGCTGCAGAAATTTGAATAAGTAATGAGGAGCTGAATGTTAATCCCCAAGACAATGAGGAAAATATCTCCAGGGCATGTCAGAGGTCTTCACGGCAGCCCCTCCCATCACAGGCCCAGAGGCCTAGGAGGAAAAAATGGTTTGATGGGCCTGGGCTCAGGGTCCCTTTGCTGTGTGTAGCCTGGAGATGTGGTGCCCTGCATCCCAACCACCCCAGCCATGGCTGAAAGGAGCTAATGTAGAGCTGGGGCCATGGCTTCAGAGAGTGCAAGCCCCAAGCCTTGGCAACTTCCATGTGTGGACTTCCGCGGGTGGATAGAAGTCAAGAATTAAGGTTTGGAAAACTCTGCCTAGATTTCAGAGGATGTTTGGAAATGCCTGGATATCCAGGCAGAAGTTTACTGCAGGGTAGGGCACTCCTGGAGAACCTCTGCTAAGGCAGTGCAGAATGAAAATGAAGCCCCCAAACAGAGTCCTGAGTGGGGAGCTGTCTAGTGGAACTGTGAGAACAGGGCCAATATCCTCCAGACATCAGAATGGTAGAGGCACTTACAGCTTGCACTGTGTGCCTGGAAAAGCTGCATACACTGAATGCCAGCCCGTGAAAGCAGCCAGGAGGGAGATTGTACCCTGCAAAGCCACTGGGGTAAAGCCGCCCAAAACCATGGGAACCTGCGTCTTCCACCAGCATGACTTGGATGTGACACATGGAGTCAAATGAGATCATTTTGGAGCTTTAAGATTTGACTGCCCCACTGGATTTTGGACTTGTGTGGGGCCTTTAGCCCCTGTGTTTTGGTTGATTTCCCTCATTTCGAATGGGCATATCTATCCAATACCTGTACCCACATTGTATCTAGGAAGTAGATAACTTGCTTTTGATTTTACAGGCTCATAGGCAAAAGGGACTTGCCTTGGCTCAGATGACACTTTGGACTGTCGACTTTTGAGTTAATACAGAAATGAGTTAAGACTTTGGGGCACTGTTAGGAAGACATCTTTGGTTTTGAAATGTGAGGATATGAGATTTGGGAGGTAACAGATGATATGATTTGGCTGTGTCCCCACCAAATCTCATCTTGCATTGTAGCTCCCACAATTCCCATGAAGCATGGGAGGGACCCAGTGGGAGATAATTGAATCATAGGGCAGGTCTTTCCTGTGCTATTCTCATGATAGTGACTAAATCTGAGATCTGGTGGTTTTATAAAGGGGAGTTGCCCTGAGCAAGTTCTCTTCCATCTGCCGCCATGGAAGATGTGTCTTTAACATTCTGCCATGATTATGAGGCCTCCCCAGCCATGTGGAACTGTGAGTCTATTAAACTTCTTTTTTTGCAAATTGCCCAGTCTTGGGTATGTCTTTATCAGCAGCATGAAAACAGACTAATACAATCTTCATCTGAGAAAGTAGAGCTGAATGTTGCACATTCATACCCAAATTCCAAATAGAAATCCTCCACAGTCCATATAAGTCTCAGGCACATAATTTCCAGTCTCTGTTTTGATTCCCATTTGAAGAATTATCACTGAATCCCCCCAAAATAATAAAAAGTTACTGTTCTGTTTAACTTGGATCATTGAATATAAATGTGCAAGATAAATGAATAATTAGCCTAATAATTCTTACCATCTTACTTTGCTCTCAAATGTTTTCATATCAGTGATGTACAGGAGCCTCTAATATTCTAACTCTCAAGAGTCTCTTTCTCCATTCCCTGATCAAGCAGGTTCTCCTTTGGCTTTTTCCTTCCACCTCTGTCTTTGCTATAAAATGGGGAAGAAGGGGAGGGTTGTACATAGCAAAGTGGTGGAAGAAAGTGAACAGAATAGCTTTTCTTTATCCAGTGGCTAGGTGTAGAGTGGGTACATTTATTCCTTTCTTTTCTTTCTCCTCTCCCTTCCTCTTTCTCTCTGTCTCTCTCTTTCTCCCTTCCTTCCTTCCTTCCTTCCCTTCTTTCTTTCTTTCTTTCTCTTTCTTTCTTTCTTTCTTTCTTTCTTTCTTTGTCTTTCCTTCCTTCCTTCCTTCCTTTCTTTCCTTCCTTCCTTCCTTCCTTCCTTCCTTCCTTCTTTCTTTCTTTCTTCTTTTTTTCATGTCACATTGTTTCTCACTGGCATAATGAAATAATCTGTGGAAATCTAACAACTTGAGAAATTAAAAAACATTTTTACTCCCTCAAAATCACTCCATATATGGACTTCTGGGAGAGAAAAAGTGGGACTCTGAAATGCTAGGTCAATGACACTTCATGAAATGTGAATTTTTAAAAATGAGGAAACATATGTAACTCTAACGAACTGATGTCTCTGTCCTCCTTCTGTTCTCTTTCCACCAGCCATATATTAAATGTGTTATTATCAAGCTCCAAGGTGAGAGAACAGATAGTTTTAGAAGCATGAGTGGGAGCAGGGTAGCATCTTTGTCCTTCAGACCATCAAATCATAGAGAGGACAAAAAATTAGGAAACAGAAAGGGGTGATTTCTGAAAGCTGAGGTCTCTACATAGAGAATACTACTTTTCCCCTGTGCAATTTTGAAAGCAGGGAACACCTTCAAGTATGATATGACACAGCATGGAAAAAAATGGGAATGGGATTGCTCTATAAATTGTCTTCAGAATGGGATGAAGAATCAAGTGTTCAGACCAGAAGCCTAGTAGAGGAGAAAAGTGAAATCATTATGGATGAAATGAAGCTGATACTGCTGGTTGATATCAATATGGGACCTTATCTGAAAGTAGTTGGACCAGGAATCACACAATTTACTTCTGCTCCTTTAGCCCAAATTTATTCAAGCCCTTAGCTACATTTACAAACTCTCAGCTACAAAAAAAAATTGTGAAATGTAATCTTTGTAGTTGACAGGCCAAGGCTTAACTCCTGAGTCCTATTTCTTAAGTGATCAAAAGACAGTATATAATATTAGGACTTTCAGCCATGAGCATCAAGTCATGGTCAGGGGCCAAGTCATGAGAATATGCAAATAAAACTCGTTCCTATAGGTTAGTGGGGGAACAGTTCCTGGGGACAACTAGAAATCTCTTTCTCAAATGTAAATATCCACCAGTAGAAAATTTAAAAGACCAAAATTAATAACTGATCAGTAGAATAAAATAGTCTGTATCCATTTATAAAGGAGTAATATCATGGGAAATGTTTCACATTTTCTTCTGAATGGGTAAAGGAAAGATATAAAACCACAATATATAGAGAGAGGTGTAAATGTAATTGTAGGTTAAGTCAGAATAGTGAGGTTTCATATATAGATATAAATTCTTTCCATTTTGTAAGAATAAAAATGTGTCTCTTTTATACTGAGGATAGTCCATGAGTGTGTCTTTAATATTTCCACCTCTGCTTTTCCCCCAGATATCTGTCCCACAGACAATAGTTTTACCATGAAAATGTAAGCTTATTTTAACATGTTTTCATCATCCTATTTTTTCATAAACAGGACTAGGCAGAGAAAACCTGCTTTAGATGGAATACTCTAATTTATGTTGCTTAACTCAGATCAAGTTATGAATTCAGACTCTTAAGTTATGTTTAGTTCAGAAATAAATGAAGTTACATTATGTTCACACCCTGGTAATGTGTAAGGCACAGTGTTAAAGATAGGGATATCTTTACACTGATCCAAAGATGTGACTTGTTGATACAGCTGTGTCTCTCAAATTTCTCTTTTTGAGGGGGATGGGGAAGTAAACTCCTTGAACCCTTGTAGAATACTAAGGTTGCCTAAGCAGATATCCAAGTATAATTCTTATTTATACTGAAGTCACAAAAGACCAGTGGGAAGAACTTGAAAGTATCCAAAAATAGAGGGCAAAAATATAATGTTACCAATGGACTGGAGATGGGTACAGGTAAAATCAAGTGAAAAGTAAGGTCTTTTGTAGAGAATCTCCAGAAATACTCTGGTAGCTCTGTTAGGCAAAGCTATATTTCCTGAATATTGAGAGGGATTGTTGCTTTGAATATAGAGGGAATCTGTACATGAACCTGTTTGAAATCAAGTCTTTGAATAACACATAAAAGATCTCTACTACCCATCATCTCAGGACACTTTGCTGAATTTTCACTGACCCTTCCCAGAAGTTGAGTGAAAAGCTGTGTTGTACCAACAGCCTCTGCTGAGAAGGCTGGGTACCTACAGAGGAAGACCTATCCTTTCTTATCAGAGACAGAGGTGACTATAAAATGTGAAGAGGCACATGACGTGAGGATCTCCTATGAGTGACAGAAGGAGGCAAGAGTGAGTCATTGTTTTCATAGTAGAATTCCTGAAAGCAAGAAAAACTAAGAGGAACAGAACTGCCTGTAGAAACAGAGATAGAGAGGAAGCTGGACTCTCCTAACTGCCATCCGTGTTGGATTGGATGGATACCTTGTAACTTGATAGATGGAGTTCCTGTTAAAATTTTAGCTGGGACATTCTTAAGTTATGTTTAGTTTAGAAATAAATGATGAAGTTCTGATATAATGACCCGGCTCCACAATTTTTCCAGGATTTCAAGCTCTGTTCAGACTGCCCCTCCAAACTCTCTAGGAGGTTGTGCTCACCTGCATGGTCAATTCCACACGACATCACAGGACTCAGGAAGGGGCCAAGACATGGGGATATGCAAATAAAACTCTCATTTCTATGGGATAATGGGGGAACAGTCCCTGGGGACAACTAGAAATCTCTTTCTCAAATGTAAATATCCACCAGTAGAAAATTTAAAAGACATAAATTAAAACTGCTCAGTAAAATAAAATGGTCTGTATCCATTTATAAAAGAATAATGTCATGAGAAGTGTTTCACATTTTCTTCTAAATGGGATAAAGAAAAGATATAAAACATTCTGCAAAATAAAAACCCCATATATAAGGAGACGTGTAAATGTAATTTTAGGTTAAGTCAGAATAGTGAGGTTTCATATATAGATATAAGTTCTTTCCATTTTGTAAGAATAAAAATGTGTCTCTTTTATACTGAGGAGAGTGCATGAATGCGTCTTTAATATTTCCACCTCTGCTTTTCCCCAAAATATCTGTTCAACAGACAATATTTTTACCATGAAAATGTAAGCTTATTTTTAACACATTTTTATCATCCTATTTTTTTTCATTCCTTGGCTTAGAGGAGGTAAAATATGAATATTTCATGTTAATTTATTTGGTAATTTTTACATAAAGAACAGTTTATTTGCCTGATCATTTGACATCTATAATTTTGGGCATTATAAACATTATAGAATACTTTTTTCTTCTTAATCTCAATAACATATACATATCCTTTGTGCCAGCCAAAAAAAAAAAAAAAAAAGAATACAATGGAAAAGGAAGAGACATATGGATATCTAAGTGAAATAAATATACCTCAATTAGAGAGATCTTAATTCAATTTTCACTGCTCTGACTACACTGGAAGAAGCTGAAAGATTTCAGGATACATTAATATATTTGTGGAATTCAAAATGCTGTTTGTTTTGAGCTCATATGCATAGCGACTTTAAATCATTTTTTTCTAAGATTGGGAAGGACATGCTATCTCACTAATAGAAATGCAGCATGTGAGATTCCCCTAAGTAATGGATAATTCCCATGCTGTCCAGATGCTTAAGTGAATTTGAGGTCTGTGTTCAGCTTGAAAGCCATTTGGATAGAGAACCCAACCACACACAATTGCCAGCACATTACACAAGGGAAAATGCAGAAAATGAAATTGTTGGTAAAGATAATTGCTGTGAATGCAGACTCTGATAGCAGGAGTCTATGGAATAGCATACCATCTATTGTTAGCCAGTAAATAAAAGATGCTGTGCTTTGGCTTCAATTTGGAAAAAAGTGGTGGTAGGTTAAGATACCTTATTGAGTTGGGTGATGAAAATATAAAGGTTGGTCCTATTAAGGTCACCAATAAATTATAACCCAAGAGAACTGGGTCAGTGAGCAGAATAGTTCCGTGTGGCCAGGGTGCTGATGCTGGTGTTTAGGATAACATCTTTTGGACTGTAGTACAATTGTGCTTCCTCTAAAGGGTCCTTTCATTCATCTGAGAAAAAAAGCAGTGGGGAAGAAAGAATAGCAACATTAAAAATATCTAATACAAACAAAAAAGTGCAAAGAAGAATACACATTTGAAAAATGATATCATAATTCTCAACATGGTGGAAAATAAAGAGATAAAGCATTAAATGCAGAAAATAGAGGTAGTCATAGGTATGATATTCAGAGTATATTCACTCTGAGAATCCCAGCCAAAATGAGTTGGTGTGGAGGTAAAAATAATCTGGCAGAGACGTCTGAAAATAAGGTACAGAAACTTGAAAAAAATCTATTGTAAATCCTGATTGATAAAAACAAATTTAGATTTTACCAAAAAATAAATTAGAAATCTACGTTCAGTTCATATCAACTTTCTGAAGTAAATACTGGTAATTTGGTCAATAGTGAAATACAGAAGCCAACATCACAGCATCCAAAAAAGGATGGATATGAATATAAATGTGTGTAATTGTTACAACCACTAGCTGGAGAAGCAAGTATCTTTTTTTTTTTTTTGCATTTAAAAATTTTATTTATTTATTTATTTATATTATACTTTAAGTTTTAGGGTACATGTCCACAATGTGCAGGTTAGTTACATATGTATACATCTGCCATGCTGGTGTGCTGCACCCACTAACTCGTCATCTAGCATTAGGTATATCTCCCAATGCTATCCCTCCCCCTTCCCCCCACCCCACAACAGTCCCCAGAGTGTGATGTTCCCCTTCCTGTGTCCATGTGTTCTCATTGTTCAATTGCCACCTATGAGTGAGAATATGCAGTGTTTGGTTTTTTGTTCTTGTGACAGTTTACTGAGAATGATGATTTCCAATTTCATCCATGTCCCTACAAAGGACATGAACTCATCATTTTTTATGGCTGCATAGTATTCCATGGTGTATATGTGCCACATTTTCTTAATCCAGTCTATCATTATTGGACATTCCGGTTGGTTCCAAGTTTTTGGTATTGTGAATAGTGCCGCAATAAACATACGTGTGCATGTGTCTTTATAGCAGCATGATTTATAGTCATTTGGGTATATACCCAGTAATGGGATGGCTGGATCAAATGGTATTTCTAGTTCTAGATCCCTGAGGAATCGCCACACTGACTTCTACAATGGTTGAACTCGTTTACAGTCCCACCAACAGTGTAAAAGTGTTCCTATTTCTCCACATCCTCTCCAGCACCTGTTGTTTCCTGACTTTTTAATGATTGCCATTCTAATGGGTGTGAGATGATATCTCATTGTGGTTTTGATTTGTATTTCTCTGATGGCCAGTGATGGTGAGCATTTTTTCATGTGTTTTTTGGCTGCATAAATGTCTTCTTTTGAGAAGTGTCTGTTCATGTCCTTCGCCCACTTTTTGATGGGGTTGTTTTTTTCTTGTAAATTTGTTTGAGTTCATTGTAGATTCTGGATATTAGCCCTTTGTCAGATGAGTAGGTTGTGAAAATTTTCTCCCATTTTGTGGGTTGCTTGTTCACTCTGATGGTAGTTTCTTTTGCTGTGCAGAAGCTCTTTAGTTTAATTAGGTCCCATTTGTCAATTTTGTCTTTTGTTGCCATTGCTTTTGGTGTTTTAGACATGAAGTCCTTGCCCGTGCCTATGTCCTGAATGGTAATGGCTAGGTTTTCTTCTAGGGTTTTTATGTTTTTACGTCTAATGTTTAAGTCTTTAATGCATCTTGAATTAATTTTTGTATAAAGTGTAAGGAAGGGATCCAGTTTCAGCTTTCTACATATGGCTAGCCAGTTTTCCCAGCACCATTTATTAAATAGGGAATCCTTTCCCCATTGCTTGTTTTTCTCAGGTTTGTCAAAGATCAGATAGTTGTAGATACGCGGAGTTATTTCTGAGGGCTCTGTTCTGTTCCATTGATCTATATCTCTGTTTTGGTAGCAGTACCATGCTGTTTTGGTTACTGTAGCCTTGTAGTATAGTTTGAAGTCAGGTAGCGTGATGCCTCCAGCTTTGTTCTTTTGGCTTAGGATTGACTTGGCGATGTGGGCTCTTTTTTGGTTCCATATGAACTTTAAAGTAGTTTTTTCCAATTCTGTGAAGAAAGTCATTGGTAGCTTGATGGGGATGGCATTGAACCTATAAATTACCTTGGGCAGTATGGCCATTTTCACAATATTGATTCTTCCTACCCATGAGCATGGAATGTTCTTCCATTTGTTTGTATCCTCTTTTATTTCATTGAGCAGTGGTTTGTAGTTCTCCTTGAAGAGGTCCTTCACGTCCCTTGTAAGGTGGATTCCTAGGTATATTATTCTCTTTGAAGCAATGGTGAATGGGAGTTCACTCATGATTTGGCTCTCTGTTTGTCTGTTATTGGTGTATAAGAATGCTTGTGATTTTTGTACATTGATTTTGTATCCTGAGACTTTGCTGAAGTTGCTTATCAGCTTAAGGAGATTTTGGGCTGAGACAATGGGGTTTTCTAGATATACAATCATGTCATCTGCAAACAGGGACAATTTGACTTCCTCTTTTCCTAATTGAAAACCCTTTATTTCCTTCTCCTGCCTAATTGCCCTGGCCAGAACTTCCAACACTATGTTGAATAGGAGTGGTGAGAGAGGGCATCCCTGTCTTGTGCCAGTTTTCAAAGATACTCCTTGAGAAGAGCAACTCCAAGACACATAATTGTCAGATTCACCAAAGTTGAAATGAAGGGAAAAACGTTAAGGGCAGCCAGAGAGAAAGGTCGGGTTACCCACAAAGGGAAGCCCATCAGACTAACAGTGGATCTCTCGGCAGAAACTCTACAAGCCAGAAGAGAGTGGGGGCCAATATTCAACATTCTTAAAGAAAAGAATTTTCAGCCCAGAATTTCGTATCCAGCCAAACTAAGCTTCATAAGTGAAGGAGAAATAAAATACTTTACAAACAAGCAAATGCTGAGAGATTTTGTGACCACCAGGCCTGCCCTAAAAGAGCTCCTGAAGGAAGCACTAAACATGGAAAGGAACAACTGGTACCAGCTGCTGCAAAATGATGACAAAATGTAAAGACCATAGAGACTAGGAAGAAACTGCATCAACTAACGAGCAAAATCACCAGCTAACATCATAATGACGGGTTCAAATTCACACATAACAATATTAACGTTAAATGTAAATGGACTAAATGCTCCAATTAAAAGACACAGACTGGCAAATTGGATAAAGAGTCAAGACCCATCAGTGTTTTGTATTCAGGAAACCCATTTCACATGCAGAGAAGCAGGTATCTTTTAAGGTATTAGACAGCCTGGTAGTTTAAGAAGTGTTTGGTAATTTTTATGCAAGGAAGTTTTCCCAAGTGGTGGTTGATATGTGGTCTCAAATATTATTAAGGTAGCTCTTGGGGGGATAATCTCAGATTTGATCCCCGTTTCCCCCAGAGAAGCAACATTTTTCTCGTTGATACAAATGAGGCTCTTGGGAGTTTTTCTTTTCAAAAAAGATGCATATATCAAAAGTGAGAATTCAACATACTTTGGCGTAACGAAGAATTCTACCTACTGGAAAGAAATTTGGACAGTTCCTTGGAATTCGCTGGATCACAGTTTAGTGTGTCCTAATTACAGGAGATAACAGTATGTATCAATCCATTGTTATATTGGATCTTATCTCCTGAAATACAACTGTATTATAATTGAAGTCACACCCTAAAATTGGATGGTTTAAGAAATCAAGTAAAAGGAAATCTCACACATCAATTTTCTTTTTTGTTTTGAAGTAAGAGTGCGTGCTATAATATTTGCTAGTAGCAATTGCTGTAAAATGGGAGGAGTTATTTTGTTAAAAAGATCGAGTCCCAGAGCAGAATTCTTCAATCATTCATGGCAGAATGAAAAAGGTTGATATGGTTCTTGTCCAAATTACTCAGTTCTTAAAAGTTTTAAAATCATCATAAATCATTATCCTTTAAGGGCTTATTTGAAGATGTTAAAGTTTAGAACTTTGTGTAAAGGTAGAGTTTTCCCCCGTTAATAGTACCTTCTTAATAAAAGTTGGTGTTCACTATTACAAACTACCAGTGAGGCCAAAGAATCTCAAGATCTTTGTAAAAAAGAAATCTTTTAGTGTCAGATTGTCCCTTCTAATACCTTTGGAGATGATGTAACTTTGATTTATTCATAAAATATTTTAACTGTCAAGACTCTTGAAGATCATGGGTAAGCAAGTGATTTTCTTTTTTAACCTGGTTGGTTTAAGTAATAATTTGAAATTCACTTATTTTAAAATTACAGAGTATTATAATCATGAAAACTGAATGTTTGTATCTTCCTAAATACATTCACCTAAGAAAATATTTCATAGGCAGATAATGAAGACCAAGCGGAAGTCTGCACTGTAGGCATCCTTCTTATTTGTACTTATTCTGCTTTCATTTATGCTGTAGAAAATGAAATTCCAGCAACATTCTTCAGTTCTGTTACTTTGGTACTTCTAAAACTATATTTGTTTTTATTATATTGTGCTTTTCAAAGCCGTAACTCTAAAGAACTTTGTTTTTGCATATTGTTTGCTAATGCTTTATTTTAATAAACTTCAAAGTCGGCTTAAGAAAAAGAGGGAGAGACAGAGAGGAGCATTAAAGGGGAGCATAGGAGTTACCATGATTCAGAAATAAATAAACTTAAAAATAAATACACTTGAAAAGATGTAAGATATTAACTCACTGTATTTTGAAATGCTATAATTCACAATGAACTGTAAAATGAGAGTTTTTTGGACTCATAAGAGGTTTTCTTTGTGGAGAAAGTGGAAAATCTCATTATTTGACTTTTTTTGGGTGATTGGAGATGCTGTGATGCAATATTCTTATTTTTATTTTCCTTAAGGGCCCGTAATTTTGAGCTGTGATGGGTGCCCTAAAGTGTTTTATCCAAAAAAGACTATTTTTAAATATCTTGTTAATCTACCTCCTGTTTTCTGCTATAAACTCTCATTACAACCATCTCCATTCAACATATGACCTAATTATATAGTCAAAAACCAAGAGCACATCTATCATAATTCTCATATTCAATAATAGAATGTGTGTTTTTTTCTATAGTTACTATTTTGTTTGGTTCCCATTAGAGTAGAGGCAGTTGAGTATAAATTTTAGAGAAAGACTTTGGACTTCAGGTTTAGAAAAGCTGATGAGTGTTTTTCTTCACTACCAAAATCCAGTGAAAATGAATGAAGTATAAAAGCAGGAGATAAGCTGGGCATGTTGGCTCAGGTCTGTAATCCCAGCACTTTGGGAGGCCAAGGTGGGTAGATCACTTGAGGTCAGGGTTTGAGACCAGCCTGGACAATATGGCAAAATCCCATCTCTACTAAAATAAATAAATAAATACAAATACAAAAATTATCTCAGTGTGGTGGTGCGTGCCCGTAGTCCCAGCTACTCGGAAGACTGGGTCAGGAGAATTGCTTGAACCTGGGAGATGGAAGGTTGCAGTGAGCCGAGAGCACACCTCTGCACTGAATCCTGGGCAAAAGAGAGACTCTATCTCAAGGAAAAAAAAAACAAAACAAAACAGAAACACAAGAGATAATCAATGGCCACTAGGAAACCTTTATGGGTACCACTGGTGTACCTGAAACAGGAAGCTGTCCAAAAAGTAGAAAGAAAACAGAATTAAGTTGCTGAAACTGCAACCCGCAGACAGATATGAGGTATGTACATACATACAGGAGAACCCCCAAATCAGAGACAGCATGACCTAGGGTAGAGCATCCCATAGAGCAGAGAGAGAGAGATTTTGACAGAAGATTTCAGAATCGCTGTTTCAGTATTCAGTCTCAGCCAAGCATCAGTGTTTTCCCCCAAGGTAAAGCTGCAACTACAGGTCTATAAATGAAGTGGAGTAACTTGCTTTTTCCAACATGAGAAATTGATCCCAGGAGGAGAAAAAGAGTAAGGTTCTCATTATTCTTCTGCCACAATAAACAAGGAGCACCTCCTCACCAAAAGCCAATCCTCAGAGGCATTCCAACCAGACACACCCCAGGCTACTCACTACAGCAGGATCTGAAACCAGCAGCTGGGTTGACCATCAGGTAACATTGAGTGTTGCAGCAGCTGAGGAAACCTGTACCATCTGCCAATACTGATTTGGACTTTCACATATGCATATTAACGGGTCCTCAAAGGCCAAACACTATTTGAAGAAGAATAAGTAACAACATAAAGGCAAAAAAGAGCTACTGGAAGAGGCAGTAACAAACTTAAAAAAAGTTCCTTATGCTAGAAGAAGTTATAGGATATATCATAGTTCTAAAATGAGAAAAGTTGCTAACAAATAATTGTAGAAATCAAAGATTCTTTATACTTTAAGAACAACAACCGTAATAACTGAGTGAAACACTGAATATCAAAATTGATGTGGTAGAAGTATTAATAATTGATATGGTTTGCCGGTGTCCCCACTCAAATCCCATCTTGAATTGTAGTTCCCATAATCCCCATGTGTCATGGGAGGGACCCAGTGGGAGGTAATTGAATCCTAATGGCAGTTAGCCCCATGCAGTCTCATGATAGTAAGTGAATTCTCACAAGCTCTGATGGTTTTATAAGGGGCTTTTCCCCCTTCACTTGGCACTTCTCTCTCCTGCTACCATGTGAAGAAGGACATGTTTGCTCCCCTTCTACCATGATTGTAAGTTTCCTGAGGCCTCCATAGCCATGTGGAACTGTGAGTCAATTAAACCTCTTTCCTTAATAAATTACACAGTTTTGGGCAGTTCTTTATAGCAGTGCGAGAATGAATTAATACAATCATCATGAAGATGGATTGAGTAATTTGCCTAGAAGTCAGTAAAAAAGTAATTAAAGCAAATAAACCCCAAAAGAAAAACACACATAAGAAAAAAAGAAAGAGAAAAGCTAGATGAGGTATACAGAAGCTGCAGTATTTGTTGAATATTAATTCTAGAAAGGGGGAACAAAGAGAGAGGAGAGAAAGCAATAATCAACTAACTAAATGAAAATTCTCCGAGGTAAAAATGAGTCATTTTTCTCGATTACAAATGCTCACATAATCTCTTCCAAGAGGCTTTTCTTTTCCCAGACAGATTTTTGGTGCCTGGAGAATTTGGGATGGGTTATCTGGTTTTACCCTAAGGAATCTGCTCTTCCACTTGTGTTGAAACTCAGACCAGAATGGGAGCAGAGGCTACAGAGACAACCTTGTTACTCCCTATATTAGTCCATTCTCACACTGCTATAAAGAACTGCCTGAACTGGCTTATTTGTAAAGGAAAGAGGCTTAATTGACTCACAGTTCAGCATGGCTGGGGAGTCCTCAGGAAACTTACAGTCATGGCAGAAGGCTAAGGGAAAGCAAGGCACATTCTTCACAAGGCGGCAAGCAGAAAAAGTGCTGATCAAAGGGGAAAAATCCACTTATAAAACCATCAGATCTCATAAGAACTCACTCACTATCACAAGAATAGTATGGAAAAACCAACCCCATGATTCAATTACCTCCACCTGATCTCTCCCTTGACACATGGGGATTATGAGAATTACAATTCAACATGAGACTTGGGTGCGGACACAAAACCTAATCATTCACTCCTGTATGCTGCTCACTCTCAGGCCGGAGGTACTTTGAGGCTTTTCCATCTCTGAGGAAAAGCTTCTCCCTCCTATGCAGTCTTCTGTTGTGTCTGCATTCATCTGAACAGCGGTTGGTCACTCAATGCTACCGTAACCATTTTCCCCTGCCTGCTGCTGTCTTCTCCCATTCTGGGTATGCTTATGCATTTATTCCCTCCTATCCTTCTACTATATTCATTCAGTTGCCTTTCTAGAAAGAGGAAAATGTCAAAGTGTGAAGTATCATCCTTATATGACTTGGGAATGCTTGATTGTGACTTTGTGACACAGCACAATTCAATCTTAGGAATGGAAGGCAAAGAATCAGAGGCCACTGTATCTGCTTTTTAACAATTCAGCAGTTATAAGATACATAATTTTGGAAAATATAAACTTTGAGAAAAATTTTCTCAACTGTATCTGAGAAAAATCATGAAATAAAACATGAAAAATGATAACTCTGACAATTGCTTTTACAAACAGTCCAGTTACAGAAATGGATAGAAATTATATAGAAATTAAGGAAAAGTTTTGCAGTATATTATATTATAGTGTACTATAGTCACAGGAAATATATTAAACGCTATGAATTTTGTTACTATTTGATTTTTGAGGATTTAATACAGTTTTATCTCTATTTTTCCAAAAGCATAAAGCTAATTTAACATCAAAAAATGCATATGTGATCAAATATAAAATATATTTGAAAATTTACCTTGGTTTTATAAGACCTTGAATGGCCTGATGTAATTAATAAAATATTGAGCTATTAATAAAACAGTTGAATAACAGACCAAAAATTCTAAAAACAACTGAGTTATAATATTTATAAACTGCCCACATCTAATTGTATAATTATCTAACTAGTATTTTAATCTTTTCCCAGTAATATAATAATTTTTTTTTTTAGATGGAGTCTCGCTCTGCCGCCAGGCTGGAGTGCAGTGGTGTGATCTGGGCTCACTGCAACCTCCGCCTCCCAGGTTCAAGCAATTCTCCTGCCTCATCCTCCCGAGTAGCTGGGACTACAGGCATGTGCCACCATGCCCAGCTAATTTTTGTATTTTTAGTAGAGACAGGGTTTCACCATGTTGGCCAGTACGGTCTTGATCTGTTGACCTCGTGATCTGCCCACCTTGGCCAAATGCTTTGATGAGCTTAACAAAGGAACCATACTAAGGTGAAATGTGCATGAGATACAAAATTAGAGAAATTTGCGCTGAAATCCCATTACAGTATTTACCATCAATGCAACCTTTAGTGTAATATTTATCTTTTCCAAAACCTTACTTTTCCTGTCTATAAATGGGAATTGAGTCTGAGCTGGAACGAGGACTTTCTTTAATCAATAGAAATAAGTAGAAGGGATGCCACACCAATTCAGCTCAAGTGTTGAGAGGTCCTGGCAGTTCCTATACACATTTATAGTGTCTGGTTTTCCACTTGTAACATTGTTTGTTTTTCTCTCGCCCACAAGTCTCAGGTCTAAGGCCTTTGATAAGATCAATAAACCTCCTTTTTATCAGTCATGTCCTGATCTTTATGGGAAGCACTCTATGCCTCGTCAAGGATTTATCTCTCTGATGTCTCATGTCATAGTCTGGAATATAAATTCCTGTTTCTTGAAACACACAAACCATTAGGTCTGTGTTACCCATATTTCCTTTCAGTTATCAGGAAACAACAACAACAAAAAAACCCTTCAATCTCTGCCTGTATCTCTGTCTTCTGCTTTATGAGACTATTAACCCTAAAGAACATATATTCCTCCTCCTTCCACACCCCCCAACTTAGGGGGTTCAAACCATATATTAATTTGTATCTTTTCTGACTCATGTCACTATGATTCAGGGTGTCCCCAGCTGTGATACAGAAAGCCTACTGCCTGCTCATGTAAGTCCATGCCCCTAAGATGGATACCATTAAACCCTACTCTCAAAAGCACAGGAACAGAAAGCTGACGAAAAGAGGAGGAATTGCTCTGGCTAAACACATTTTCCATAAGAGGTGGCTTTTCAAAAATTTAAAAGTATTTTTTCAATGAAATTGCTGTTGAGTGTGACAAAACATTTAAGGAAGCCCTTTGACAGAAATGCCTCTACTTTAAGTGAATGAAACATTTCTAGTCAAACTCTGAGATGCATGGAAAAGCCAAATAAAGGTGGCACATTTTTCATTTACATACTTCTCTACTGATTTGCATTTATGATGTGCAATGATAGAGCCTGCCTTTCCTTCTGCACAATTATATCTTACAAGAGTGCTCTCCCTTGTTTGTGTTTTCCCCTTTAAACTGTATCCCTAACTATGACTTAGCCCTCTACAGAAGGCACACTCTCTGGGAACAATCTTGGTGCAATTTGTACAGCTTCACATATGTAGAGATTCTGTTCTTTTGACTCTATTTCAATATTCTGTTTCCATCTCAAAACAATATCATCTTTACATGAATTTTGATTACCTCTACCTCCAAAGTATTTCTTCTTTTATTTTTTCCTCTCTCTTAATTAAGAACTTTACAACTAAGAGGGAATATAGAAACCATCCAAGCTTTATTTTGAAAATATTGAAGGGTAGAAAGATTAAATGACTTGCCCAAAGTAACCCAGCTAATTAGTAGAAATTAGACTAGAGCCCAGTTCTGGTGTTGACAGCATCCTTTAACTATTAAGTAGTGCTTTATGAATTATTTCTAATTCACTGAGGGTAAAGAGGTGATCACAAACCTGTTTATCCTAAAGCAGCTTAAATTTGTGGCCAGTTTAGAAAGAAGATGCACATAAAAATATGCTGGTATGGTTTGGCTCTGTGTCCCCACCCAAATCTCATCTTGAATTGTACTCCCATAATTCCCATGTGTTGTGGGAGGGTCCTGGTGGGAGATAATTTGAATCATGGGGGTGGTTTCCCCCATACTGCTCTTGTGGTAGTGATTAAGTCTCATGAGATCTGATGGTTTTATCAGGGGTTTCCACTTTTGCATCTTCCTCATTTTCTCTTGCTGGCACCATGTAAGAAGTGCCTTTTGCCTCCCACCCATGATTCTGAGGCCTCCCCAGCCACATGGAACTACAAATCCAAATAAACCTCTTTTTCTTCCCAGTCTCGGTTATGTCTTTTTCAGCAGTGTGAAAATGGACTAATACGTATGGTAAGAACCTAAGAACAATTTTCTCACAGAACATACTTATTCAATCTAGTTAGCTGCTCATGGTGTCATGTGACTGTAGTCCCAGCAACTTAGGAGGCTGATTGAGGAGGCTCACTTTGGTCCCGGAATTCAAAGCTACAGTGAGCTATGATGGTGCCACTGCACTCCAGCTTGGGCAACAGAGTGAGACCTTGTCTCAAAAACAAGAAAACAAACAACTACACTAATTGTAGTCTTCTTGCTAAACTACCAAGTTAAAATACTATGTGTAACTGTACCTGCTAAATAGATCTCCTTGAGAGCTGGGCAGAGAGGATTCTTGGGACAGTGATTCTTTGTAAACCTCTTGCATTTATTGTCTCCTACTCTCTGGCAATCTCTACTTACTTTCTACGAGTGTCAGTAATTGACAACTATTAGTACATAGCTGGTAGCAATTCTAATCTCTATCAACAAACATCACAACTATTGAGTATAAAATGTCCAGGTACATTTTTTTTTTAAGATAGAGTCTTGCTTTGTCACCAGGCTGGAGTGCAGTGGTGCAATCTTGGCTAAATGCAAACTCCACCTCCCGGGTTCAAGTGATTCTCCTGCCTCGGTCTCCCAAGTAGCTGGGATTACAGGCACATGCCACCACACCCAGCTAATTTTTGTATTTTTGGTAGAGACAGGGTTTCACCATGTTGGCCAGGGTGGTCTCGATCTCCTGACCTCGTGATCTGCCCGCCTCGGCCTTCCACAGATACACCACTCTTAATTCACTCTTCCCTCTTACAGTGGAAACTTGCTGCTGCTCCTCTGGGAGAATTCCATTGCTTCTCAGTGGGGTGTCAGATCCCTTGCCTTCAAGACTCTTCTACTTGGCATGGATTAATTCCATTTTGGGAAATTGGCATGATTTATCTGTAAGATAGAATCATGAGGCAGTAGTTTTTAGAGATTTTCTTATTCTCAAGATAAACATATTCATTCATTCATTCAACATATAGTTGCTGAGTACATATTGTCATAGCCCAGGAAAAATGCTGGGGGAAAAATATTGAGCAAGAATGACCATGTTCCTGATTTTATGGAGCTTTTAATATCTCACAGAGATAAATGTTTTTAAGAGTGTAGTGTGTACTATAATAGGGAAAGTGAAAAATTCTAATAGAGAATAGAACAGTGGCAATTAACCTAGTTTTAGAAAGGTCTACCTAGAAGGCGTAGCATCTATGCCAAGACTTGAGATGAGGAAGCTGGCCAGCAGGACTGGCTATATAATTTGTGGGGCCTGGTGAAAAGTGAAAATGTGGAGTCCCTTGTTAAAAAATTCTTGTGGATTTGAAGAAAGCAGCAGCAGAACATTAAATCAAGTTTTGGGGCCATTCTGTGCCTGGGGCTACATATGATTCACAGGTCTCATGCTCATGAAACCGGTCCCGTTACCCAGAGAAGAGAAGGACTAAGAACACAATCACAACAGATAGGAATAGCGTGTGTGCAACCCTGGTGGTCACAGTGTATACTGGATGTGCAGAGCTTCAAAAAGCCCTGCAGGATTGGTGACAAGAGTACAATAGATGAGACAGTGTAAGTACCTTGATGTCTTCCCTCCATAAACCTCAGTAAAATTGCAGAACATGTTCCAGGTACTGTTTTAAGTGTTTTCTGTGAACACGATTATGTGATTCTCACCATGACCTTATAAGTCATACTCTATCATTGCTCTCATTTTACAGATGAAAATCTTGAAGCAGGCAAGTTGAATCATGTTGCCAAATTCACATTAGAGACCACAAAGTAGTGACTGGCTTTGAGCCAAAGCAGTCTAGTTTCTGAGTCTAGCTGTACTCAGTAAACTCTACTGCCTCTCTGCTATCATACTCCATATAAACTCTAGAAACCAATTTTAGTTCATACATCTACTAACTTTTCTTTATCTACATGCACACTTCACAGGTTCTTTCAATGCTCTTTTTTCTCCTATAGGCTCAAATTATCTACTGAATTCTGATACCTGTCTTGTAGGACTTCTCTTTCTTTTTACAATGAAACTCTGCCCTCCCCTGCCCCTTCTGAGGGTGGCTGCTCCATATGAAGACTCCCCTTGCACTGCTCAGGGATGCTCTATCTCAACCCTTTTGTGTAGCCCTTGGGTTTGGCCTACTTCTGCCAGGCCTCAGGGAAAACCTATGGGAAAGAGTTGGCGGGTGGGCACCTCACTTTGTGGCTGGGCTGCCTCAGAATTCTGATCTGTCACATCAGTCATTCATCGTTCTGTAAACATTTGGCAAGTTTCTCCTTATCCCTTTCTGAGACAGACTGCCCTTTTTCCATTCTTCATGGGATGACAGCAGTGGCAGCAAGTGTCTCCTTGAAGTGTCCTTCATTTTTTGGAGTTGACTTCATGTAGGTTTCTGTTGAGTTTAAGAAATGTTGTGCAGCTTATCTGGATTGTTTTTGATGTTATAGTAAAATTAATGGCCTCCAACTTTCTACATATGAAGCACTAGAGAAATGCTACATATTTATATCCTGAAGAAATGTTTATGCACACTTTACGTTAAAAAAAAGTTTAGTGAACACACCTTTCTTGTGCTCATTAAAGTTCATAGAGGCAGCACACGTCGAGAAAACTAATCATTGAATTTGGCGTTTTAACCTAGATTTACATCTTACCTATGTTGTTTGCAAGCTGCACAATCAATGAATCAATCTTTATAAATTTTATTTCCTTTATATGTGGAAAGTCTTTATGAACGTTTATGTCATAGAGATGTTATAACGATGTACATAAATAAAATTGGCTTAGCCCATATCTGCTACAATTAAATACCATAAACTGGATAGCTTATAAACAATGTAATTTATTTCTCACAGTTGTGGAGGCTGGGAGGCTCATGATCAAGGCACCAGCAGATTTATTGTCTCCTGAGGGCCTGCTGTGTGGTTTATAGATTGTGGCTTCTCACTGAATCCCCATGTGGTGGAAGGAGCTACTAGCTTTCTATGTTGTCTTTTATAAAAACACTAATGCCAATCATAAGAGCTCTACTCTTATGATCTAATCTCCTACCAAAGTTTCCACTTTCTAATAGCATAACTTTGAGGTTAAGATTTCAATATTTGAACTTTGTGGGGAGCTAAATCTTCAGTTCATTGCCGAAGTTATTTCACATGCAGCAGCTTTCAATTAACTTAAGTTCCCTTCTCTCATCTCCTTTTCCTAACTCCTTTACTAATAGGAATTCTAGGTATTAAGGAAGCAAGTGAAGAGAGAATTTCCAGTGAGTAGTGAGGGCTAGAAGATAGAGATGGTTTTAAGAACTCCACAAATATATTCGATAAGCATCTACTTTCTGGTTGATGGTAGAGCTTCCCAATCAATGTGCTCTGAATGGTTTATACCACTGGCTACATTGGCAATATTTGATACATTCTAGCTTTTAGATGGTTAGATGAGAGCTGGAGGAGCTCGAGTCCACAGGACTGGTCACTTCCAGCTATGGGGACCCCATCCAGGGATTCTCAAAGGAGCATCTAAGTAGAAACCAACCTAATGGTACTTCCTGTACATGTTATCAAGAACCTGCTGCTGTTTAGCCATATACAGAGCCTTGCCAAGTTGTGCACTACCAGCTGGCCATCTCTACAGCCAGCTGCAGAATGTATGGTTGCCAATTAGGTGTAAGGAACTCATGGAGCTATTGGAAGATATTGTATTCCAGGTGTCCAGGGATTAAGGTACACAACTCAAGGTAGAGCCAGTCAGAAGGAAATTTGGGAAAATCTACTGGCCATTCTGGGATGTCTTAGTTCATTTAGGATGATACAACAGTGTGCCATAGACTGGGTGGATCATCAACAACAGAATTTCATTTCTCACAGTTTTGGAGGCTGGAAAGTCCAAATCAATGCACTGGCAGATTTGGTGTCTGGTGAGGAGGACCTGTTTTCTGATTCATGGATGACCATCTTCACCCTGAGTCTTCACATGGTGAAAGTACGAGACAACTCTCTGGGGTCTCTTTTATAAAGACACTAATTGTTATAATGAAGGGTTCACTCTCATTACCTAATGACCTCCTAAAAGCCCCACCTCCTAATATCATCACATTGGGGATTGGAGTTTTAATGTATGAATTTGGAGGGAATACAAATATCCAGTCTATAGCGTGGAGGTACAGCTCCAAACAAAATCCTGGAATTGATGACAGACACTTCTCTCCAATGAAAGCAGATGGAGCCTTTCAGTGAAATCTAGCAGACTGCAAGGTAACTGTACTAATAGTGCTCACCTAGCCCATTAATGAGTCATTATTGGGCTAGTCATTATAATAATCAGTCATTATTTTAAGGTAACTATTTCAAATATTTTTGATTTAAAATTAATGACTATTATGAAAATTTTCAATACTCTTTGTGCCAGTAAAAGAAAATGGGGAGATGCTGAGTTCATTAAATGTAATTTCAGCTATTGTTAATTTTGAAAGAGTAAAAGATAGATTTTAAAAATGTTATTACCTATTTATGCAGAATAATTTCTTTTTGATGCCATCCAGAAATTGAAGAAATCACTATTTCTAGTCAGTCTTGCCTCGGAATTGTATATACCGGCTGCAAATGTAACGCTTTGAACAAAAGTTATGTTCATAGATTCAGGTTCACATTTCTGTCAAGATTTTGATGAGGCTTTATTTGGATATTTTATACTAATAAAACATTAATATCTTTTCTAATCTTTTACATTTGATTTTTCCTTATAAAGAAAAAATAATTTTTAAACTAAGCTCCATATATATCCTTGTTTTACCTGAAAGATCATAGAAAATGTTTCTTTTCTATGTGCGTGATTTATTGAAAGACTTTGAAAACCACTAATCGCAGTATAAGATTTGCCCTGTAGGCTTAAGTCTAAATACCATATTACCCAAGAGAAAATAACAGTATTTAGACTTGGACTTACATGGAAATAATGAATTTGATATTATGTTTTAAAAGGGCACTTCTGTAAAACACAAGATTATGGAAACCTTTTTTTTTTTTTTTTTAAGCCTTAGAAAATCTCCAGCAAAAATTGTGTGCCTACACCTTAAGGGTTCTCAACGCCAATTCAGGAAACTTTGATTGTAAGTACATTTTCTATATCTTCTAATAAAATCAGTCTTGCTACCACATCTGTTCATCTTATCCATCTTGGTACAAAACATCCATGAATCCTCTCCATACGACAGAACTTCAACTAGTTGATGATATCTATCAAGGTCTCCTCGTTCTTGTTTCCTCATAAGCAAGCAACCCTAGTTTTCTCAAGCATGCCTAATCTATTATTTCAAGTTCCTTCACCATCATTCATGAGCCCATTGGGCAATGACAGGAGTCACTGGGGACAGAAGCTGAATGGTGGACATAAAGCGAGTCATCCTATCCATTTGATTATTAAAATCCTCCTCTGCTTATGTCATCCTTTGGTGAGCATTCATGTGAAACACAAATATCTTCACGGTTTTCGACCACTCATAGAAATCCATCCACATACCTCTTCTCCAAATTTTCTTGTCACCAATTTTTCAATCATGTTCCTACCAAGTCCTTGGCCATTGTAAGGACCTGGTAGGAGCAAGCCTACCAAGATCCTACCAAGTCCTTGACCATGACAAACCATTGTACCATCCATGAAACAGTATATAATCGCAAATCTGGCCATTTTTTTTCCAAGCAAAAGGCACAACCAGGTGCACTGCTCTAAGTTCTGCCCATTGGGAAGATTTCCCTTCGCCACTGTCCCTCAGGGATGTCTAGAAAGGGGCTGTAGTGCTGCAACTGTCCATTTTTGGGTGGTGCCTGCATATCATGCAGAACCATCTGTAAACGAGGCCCCAGTCTTCTCTTCCTCCATCAACTGATTATAAGGAATTATATATGAGGTCACATGTGCAGGATGGGAGAGAGAAGTCAGGGTGGCAGGAGTGGGGACCATGGGCATTTGAGCCACTCTTCATGTAACTTATTTGTGGCTTCAGGACCTGCTTGATCCCGATAATTTATGTACCACTTCCATTTGATGATGGAATGCTGTTGTATATGTCCAACTTTATGGGTAGATGAGTCAGAAAGCACCCAGCTGATGGTAGGTAGTTCAGGTCACTTGGTAACTTGGTGACCCGTAGTTAAACACTTAGTTTCTACCAAGATCCTGTAATGGGCCAAGATCCTGTAATGTCTCTCTTAAGGAGAGTAGTTATCTGCAGAAGATGATAGAGCCTTAGTCCAAAATCCTAGGAATCTCTGCCATGATTCACCTAAAGAAGTACGGCAGTGGGCTCATACTCATGGAATTCACTGGTCTTACCATGTTCCCCAACATCCTGTAACAGCTGGATTGATAGAATAACGAAATGGCCTTTTATAGTCACAATTACAATGCCAATGAGGTGACAATACTTTGCAGGGCTAGGGTAAAATTCTCCAGAAGCTTGTGTATGCTCTGAATTAGAGTTCAATATATGGTACTCTTTCTCCCATAGCCAGGGTACATGGATCCAATAATCAAGGGTGGAAGTGGACGTGGCACCACTCGCCATCACCCCTAGTGACCCACTAGCAACATTTTTGCTTTCTGTTCACACAACATTATGTTCTGCTGGCCTAGAAGTCTTAGTTCTAGAGGGAGGAATGCTGCCACCAGAAGACACAGCAATAATTTCATCAAACTGAAAGTTAAGATTGTCACCTGGCCACTTTGAGCTCCTTCTGCCTCTAAGTAAACAGGCTAAGAAAGGAGTGACAGTGCTAGATGGGGTGATTGACTCAAACTATCAAGATGAAATCAGACTACTACTCCATTATGAAGTAGTATGTATGGAATACATACATGCTAAGGAAGAGTATGTGTGGGATACAGGAGACCCCTTAGGACATCTCTTAGTATTACCATGCCCTGTGATTAAGGTCAGTGGAAACTACAACAACCCAAATCAGGCAGGACTACAAATGGCCCAGACCCTTCAGGAGTGAAGGTTCAGGTCACTCCACCATGTAAAAAAATCACAACCTGCTGAGGTGCTTGCTGAAGGCAATGGAAATACAGAATGGGTAGTAAAAAAAGGTAATTATCAATACCAGCTACGACCACATGACCAGCTGCAGAAACGAGGACTGTAATTGTCATGAGTATTTCCTCCTCATTTTGTTAAGAATACGTTTGTGCATGTATATACTTGTACTAAGAAAATATATTCATTTTATTTCTTTTCGTCTTCCTTTATCATGTGATATAAGATTTATTTTCATATCAGCATTTAAGTGTTGTTAACTTTATATAATAGCATTTAGGTTAAGAATTAGTGTGCTTCTGGTTGTACAAAGGATAGCTGTATTATGTTAGGCATAATTATGACCTTATTATTGTCTTTATTTGGAGATTAAGTATAATTTCAAGAGATGTGTATGGGTTCAAGTAGATGAGGAGTGGACTTGTGATGGCTAATATTAAGTGTCAACTTGATTGGATTGAAGGATGCCTAGACAGCTTGCATTGTTTCTGGTTGTGTCTGTGAGGGTATTGCCAGATGAGATTAACATTTGAGTCAGTAGACTGGTGGAGGAAAGCCCTCTCTCAATCAGCTGCCAGCTGGGCTAGAACAAAGCTGGTGGAAGAAGGTGGGATGAGCTGGCTTGCTGAATTTTCTGGCTTTCATCTTTCTCCCATGATGGGTGCTTCCATCCGTTACTCTTGCCCTGTGACATTAGACTCCAAGTTCTTTGGCCTTTGGACTATTAGACTTACACCGGTGGTTGCCAGGGCCCACAACCTGAAGGCTGCACTGTCAGCTTCCCTGCTTTTGAAGCTTTTGGACACAGACTGAGGCACTACTGGCTTTCTTCCTCAGCTTGCAGACAGACTATCATGGCACTTCGCCTTGCGATCGTGTGAGCCAATTCTTTTCAATAAACTCCCTTTCATGTATATATACATCTTATTAGTTCTGTCCCTCTGGAGAACTCTAATACAATAATTTGATCATTGTTGATATTTACTTATTCATTCAGCATTAATTATATGCATTATATCTTTTAAATTCAGCACCAGGCCAACAGGATACAAATATGACTCCGCTCAAAAAGTTCACTATCTAATGACAGACAAAAACTGCTCTTCCGTTCCAGTTATTATCTAATGATGTATAACAAACCAGCTGCAATGTAATACCTTAAAGTAAAAATAATAATTTTAATCTGTATTAGTTGTTAATGCTGCTGTAACAAATAACCACAAACCTAGAGGCTTAAATAATACAAATTTACAATCTGTCTTACAATTCTGTAGAAGTCTGACATTTGTCTCATTGAGCTAATATTAAGACATTAGAAAGGCTGCATTCCTTTCTGGAGGCTCTGGACAGAATCCATTTCCTCGCCCTTTCCAGCTCCTAGAGGTCACTATATTCCTTGGTTAGTGGCCCCTTTTCCCATTTTCTAAGTAAGCAACACTGTGTCTTTCTTGGGTGGTCACATCTTTATTTGCCTACTTCCCTTTTCCACTTGTAAGGGCCTTTGCGACTACATTGGACTCACTCAGATAATCCATATAATCTTCCCATGTTAAGGGGAGCTGGAATCTTAATTCTATCTGCAGCCTTCATTTCCATTTGCTCTGTAACCTAACATAGCCATAGCTTCCAGGAATGAGGATGTAGATACCTTTGGAGGAGACACTATTCTGCCTACTCTATTAGCTCTCACAGTTTGCTTCTCTTCTATCAGACATCAATTTGGTAGAAGCTTGGCTGAGCAGATTTGGCTTAGTGCCTCTTGTGAAACTGCAGTCAGAAAATGGTTTAGCGTGGAATCATCTTGTAAGATTTTCCATCACATATCTGGCCTGGGAGGGCTTGAATAGCTGGGGATAACCCAGCTGAACCTCCCTGGACCTCCCTAAATCTTCTTTATCTCTATGGAGGCTTCCCAGGTGGTCTCTCCAGCGGAAAGACTTCAAGGTAGTGTTTCTTCTTATGTGTCAGTTTAACATTCCCAAAGCACATATCCAGAGAGAGAGAGAAAAAAAAAAAAAGAGAGAGAGATGGAAGACATATTATGATGTAGCCTCTGAAGTTATAAAGCATCACTTGAACTCTTGGTCAAGGTATTTACAAAGATTCACTTAGTTTCAGTGGGAAGCAACATAGATCCTATTCCTTGATGGGGGAGAGAGCATTTCATATTGTAAAGAGAGCATGTGGGCCGGGATATATACGTGTAATACCACCTTCAGATGTGTAACTGAAACATCTGTGAAAGAAACATTAATTGTGCTCTATACAAAATTATTTGGCTGTCACGTAATCTAGCACACCTTTGCTCTTTTTGTAATATTCCATATACTGTGACCTGAACAGAATAGAAAAAACCATTGACTCTTAGATAGATTTTATTCATAATTGGATACACAATGGCTTCTCTTTTCTTTTTTTTTGAAATGGAGTCTTGCTCTGTAGCCCAGGCTGGAATGCAGTGGCATGATCTTGGCTCACTGCAACCTCCATCTCCCAGGTTCAAGCGATTCTCCTGCCTCAGCCTCCCAAGTATCTGGCACTACAGGCGCCCACCACCACAGCCGGCTGATTTTTGTATTTTTGGTAGAGATAGGGTTTTACCATATTGGCTTCTCTTTTTCTAGCCACCTCACTACTATGAGTTTAATATTTAAGGAAATGCAGAAGGCAGTTCGTCATGTACTAGGCCATCCCATACCATCTCTAGTCCTACACATAAGCAATTGATTTTTAGAATAAAGATTATTACTTAAATCTTATTTTCGGTTAATTAAATTTTTATTCATTTATCCAGATCCTGAAGTTCTATTTATAATCATTTTTATCTGTAAAAAAAATCACATATAACTTAAATATGATAAATATTTTTATATCTTCTTTTATTAAAATATTGAGGAAGAAAAAGTCAAGATTATAGCCTGAGACAAAATCCTAGAAGCAACCCCTCTCCAGGTTATTTCACTGTTTTCATTGATCAAACAGTTAAACATTAAACTAGGAATGACCAATCCACCCAATTCACCTTAAAAGCAACACATATTTCTCATTATTGGCTAGAATATCATGAAAGACCATTTAAAACACCTTTCTGTTGCCTCTGCATACTGTGCTTACAAAATGTTTCTTGTATTAGTAAAACAGAAATCATGTAAAATATGAAAACATTTGATTTTTTTTAACTGAACTTCGGTGTGTCTAATGAAAACTACCTAGTTATGTTTTTCAGCAGAAAGCCAATGGGCCATATATACAATTGTTCTTCCTGATATTTCAGTTCACTTTAACTTTATTATTTGTAAAATCCACTGTTTTTTTCCTGTATGAGTGAGAAATAACACTTTCCTAATACAGGCCTCCAGGGCATTTCCCACCCTCAAACATTGCTCAAAAGAAGTCTGAAAATCCCCCTTTACTTCAGCGTATAATGTAATTTATTTATAGAATTAAAATTAGATTACATGTTAATAGTCATAGTTTCTTTTACAAGTTCACCAGTTTTTCTTATATTTATTCTGCAAATATTTATGATTACTCCATTTTCCATTACTAATAAATGCTCTCTTGGGCATCTTATCAGCTGTGCTTGAATGGGAAAGCCATGGGCTAGAAAAAGCCCACATTTTTCCCTCATTAGCAGTTTCTCTCTCTCTCTCTCTCATTCTTTCTGCCCTCTCTCTCTCTGCATGTGTGTGTGCTTGTGTACATGGGTGTATGTATGTGTTTAATGAATGAGTTTCTAATTTTTATTTAATTAAAAAAATTTTTTTACAGACAAGGTCTCACTCTGTCACCCAGACCGGCATACAGTGGCACAATCATAACTCACTGCAACTTTGAAATCCTAGACTTAAGCCCATCCTCCCACCCTGGCCTCCTGAGTAGCTGGGGCAGCAGGTATGCCCCATGATGCCCAGTTGATTTTTGTTTTTGTCTTTTTTTCACAGAAATGAGGTCTTGCTATGTTGCCTAGGCTGGTCTCAAACACCTGGCTTCAAAAGATTCCCCTGCCTTGGCCTCCTTAAGTGCTATGATTACAGACATGAGCCACCATGTCTGTCCCATTATTTCTTAATTACCTTTAGTGTGTGTGAAGAATGCTCCTAGGTACTGGGAACATGGTCATGAGCAGACAGACAGTATTTTTGCTCCAGAAAGGGCTTACTTTCTAAAAGGAAATGGGATAAAGATATAATAAACAAAATATTCTTGAAAGAGAATATGTTATTTGAGTAAAAGAGGTAAGTAAATGTGCAGAAGCATGATGGAAGGTGTGATGGGAACCGGGATGGGATGCATTTGCATGGTCAGGGAAGAACTCATTAAAGCGGTGGTAGGAGAACAGAACATAAAAAAGTTGTCATCTGTGGTCTCTGACCCAACTACGCTGCTTCCTCTTCTTCTGTGCCCTGATTCTGTCTACCTGTGATGAGATGAGGTGCTGCAGAACTCCATCCCACAACCAGGAGAGAAGTATTATTTAGTTTAAGCAAATCTTGGTAATGCCCATGCCAAAAGTCCTTGCCAGAGATGATTTAGATACTCTTACATAAGCTTGAACAACTAGATGTAAAGTGGTAACTCCTGAGGGCTTTATCAGAAATGTTTCTTCATTAATGGGAGGGGACACACAATCGGAAAGTCAGCTGCATGGACAGGCGGAATGTGGAGAAACTACATCCACCTGTGACCACAAGGAGAGTTGCTTACAAGTTGGATGGAACAGAGGCAGATAGGAAGGACACCAGTCTTGACAACATCATTAAGCACTGAATCAATCCACAAAGAGTCAATGTCTGGGCTTTTCACCGTAGACAAAATAAACCTCCTCTTGCTCAAATCTTTGTTATCTAGGACACCCTAAATGATACAGAAGTGATCCAATGGCTGGTCTATTTCTTTCTGTGTTTGTGTTTGTGTTTGTGATTGTGATTTGTGTGTGTGTGTGCATTTTTATTACACATGGAAAGAGTGTTCTTTCATAGGGACCATGCCTCTATTATCAATTGAGTATAAACGTTTTTTAAAAAGATTATACGGTATGACAGAGAGCTACAACTACAGAAATATTGAGAAATTCAGATATTTAGATAATGAGAAGTCAATGGAGCTATATGATTAAGGGAAACAACAGTAAAGGAGGCCGGCTAAAATTATGTGTTCTGGTTTGTCATTTCTTATGCAGGAAATCATTATGAATCCAGAATATCTCCTTGGGCCGAACAGGGATTTGTTCTTCAAGTCAGATATTTGTTCTGTGGTTATTTGCAGGTGTTCAGCAAATAATGTCCATGATTTTAGTGGGACTATGTCATATTTTTATTTCTGTGTGTTTAAATTATGTGTATTTAAGAATAATCAAATTTCTAGTAATATGTGTATATATGTATGTGTGCATATATATGCATACATATACACACATACATATATGTGTATGCACATATACATATATGCGCATATACGTATATGCACACACACATACATATACAAGTAACTTTTAATTCCATTCCTATAAAAGCTCTGAAGTGTCCAATAACAAGTAGATCAACAGGCATTTCTCTTTAGAAATGTTGAGGCCCAGTTCCAAATCAAGACCTATAGCAGTTTTTTCAGCAATGTCTGACAGTGTACTCTCTCCCTCCTCCTTCTGTCTGGAGAGCTACAGCATCCTTCCCATGGATATGAATGCTAATTCACATGTGGGATATAGGGGTATTTATGCCATCTACTGGCTATTTTGGAAAAATGCATTTCAAATACCAGATGTCTTCTTGCAAAAATTTAGAATGTCGGCAATCTTGATTTGTATTCAGAGTATGGAAATATCTTTCATGTTCTTTGAAAACATGAGAAATGCCGTGTTGCTATTAAATTTTAAATGTACAGCTCAGCTTTCTCTTTGTAGCAGTGGAACTAAAAGTTACAAGACAGCAGAAAGTCATTCTTATTCCATTTGCAAAAGTATGAATATACCTAAATTATCTCATGTGTTACATTCTCTTTGTCCAAGTTAAAATGGTTACTTATGAAGTCATGGACATCGACTTGGACTTGTGTCACTTTTGGATGCAAAGGGAATAAAATATCTTCCATGATTAAATAAAATGTCACCTCCTCTGCTTAAAAGTCCAACCCACCGTAGATATGGTCTGTATGAACATTAGTTGTATCCTCCCAGCATTAGTTACTTCCTCCGGAAAAGATAATGTGTATGTTTTCAGTTATCTTTCTACACAAAGTGCTTCTTTTCACCAACTCAAAAAAAGTCAGTGGTCTTTTTCTGGGTATTTTTTCTTTGAAAGTCAGTAACTAGGAACTTTAGATGAGATATTTTAGACGTTACTCACCTTTCTCTTAGATAAAAACAGCATGGATATGGATGTACATGAAAATTAATACCTTTGCTATATAAAAAATATTGTTAAGAGAATAAAAAACAAGCCATGGACAGATTTAGATTTTGAAATTGCCTTTCTCACAAAGGACCTTTATCAGAAAAAAAGAACACCCAAAACATAACAATAATTTAAAAATCCCGATTAAAAAATGAACAAACTATTTAAACAAGCATTTCAGTAAATAAAGTATACTGATGCCAAATATGCATATAAGAAATGCTCAAGGCCGAACGCGGTGGTTCATGCCTGTAATCCCAGCACTTTGGGAGGCTGAGGCGGGCGGATCACGAGGTCAAGAGACTGAGACCATCCTGGCCAACATGGTGAAACCCCGTCTCTATTAAAAATACAAAAATTAGCTGGGCATGGTGGCGCGTGCCTATAGTCCCAGCTACTCAAGAGGCTGAGGCAGGAGAATTTCTTGAACCCAGGAGGCGGAGGTTACAGTGAGCCGAGATCCGCCATTGCACTCCGGCCTGACGACCTAGTGAAACTCCGTCTCAAAAAAAAAAAAAGAAAGAAAGAAGAAATGCTCACAATCATTTGGGTAAGTACAAATTAAAATCACAGTGATGGTCCAAGACTCACTCAATAGAATAGAATGTTTGATTAAAACATACTGACAGGCCAGGCGCGGTGGCTCACACCTGTAATCCCAGCACTTTGGGAGGCCAAGGTGGGTGGATCATCTGAGGTCAGGAGTTCAAGACTAGCCTGGCCAACATGGCAAAACCTCATCTCTACTAAAAATACAAAAATTAGCTGGGTGTGGTGGCGGGCATCTATAATCCCAGGTACTCGGGAGACTGAAGCAGGAGAATCGCTTGAATCTGGGGAGGCGGAGTTTGCAGTGAGCCGAGATTGTGCCACTGCACTCCAGTCTAGACGACAGAGCGAAACTCCGTCTCGAAAAACAAACAAATAAACAAAAAAAATACTGAAAATAGGAAGTGATGGTTAGGGTGCAAAGCACCTCTCATATACTCTTGCTGGCAATGCATAATGACTCACCATTATGGAAAACAATATAGTAATTTATCATAAAGTTAAAAATACCCTTGTCATATGGCCTAGAAATCACTTAATGTTTACCAAAGTAAAATAAAAACTTATATTCACACAAAAAGTCCTGCACACGTTTATAGCAGCAATATTCATAGTCATCAAAAATTGTGTATGACAAAGATGCCGAATGTTTGGTATATGGATAAATAAACTATAGATATTTATTGTATAAACATTGTATTGTATTTATACAATAAACATCTATACAATAAAATGCTATTCAGTTATGAAGAGAATTATTGACTCCTCAGAAGATTAATCTTAAATTCATTTTGCTATATGAAAGAAGCAGATTCAAGAGTTACATAGTACTTGTTCAAATTTTATATGTTTTACATACATGAGTGTGTGTGTGTGTATAACCTTACAGAAAAGGCAAAAATATAGGTATAGAAAAAAGATCACTGGTTTCTCTGGGTGGAAGGAGAGCTTGATTAAAACTGAGCAGTAGAAGAAAATATTTGTGGTGATAGAATTGTTTTGTAGTACAACTCTGATGGCAGATGCAATTCTATACATTTGTCAAAAACAATACAATACCACACAGAGTGAATTGTTTACTGTAAGTAAATTTTAAATAATTAACCAGAATTTGGGAGAAATGCTAACTAGAATACAAGAATATGACATATAAAGAAACATAAGCCAGTGGCAGTGGCTCACACCTGTAATCCCAGCACCTGGGGAGGCTGAGGTGGGTGGATCATCTGAAGTCAGGAGTTTGAGACCAGCCTAGCCGTGGTGAAACCCTGTCTCTACTAAAAATATAAAAAATTAGCAGGGCGTGGTGGTGGGCACCTGTAATCCTAGCTACTCAGGAGGCTGAGGCAGGAGAATCTCTTGAAGCTGGGAGGCGGAGGTTGCAGTGAGCCGAGATTGCACCATTTTACTCCAGCCTGGGCAGGAGTAATCCTAGCTACTCAGGAGGCTGAGGCAGGAGAATCTCTTGAAGCTGGGAGGCGGAGGTTGCAGTGAGCCGAGATTGCACCATTTTACTCCAGCCTGGGCAACAAGAGTGAAACTCCGTCTCAAAGAAAAAAAAAAAGAAGGAAACATAGACACATTGAGGGTGGGGAAGTGTATTAGTCCGTTTTCACACTGCTGATAAAAGACACACCCACAACTGGGAAATTTACAAAAGAAGGAGGTTTAATGGACTTACTGTCCCACGTGGCTGGGGAGGCCTCACAATCATGGTGGAAGGTGAAAGGTACGTCTCACATGGTGGCAGGCAAGAGAAGAGAGAACTTTTCTAGGGGAACTCCTCTTTTTGAAACCATCAGATCTCATGAGACTTATTCACTATCACGAGAACAGCATGGGAAAGACCTGTCCCAGTGATGCAATTACCTCCCACAGGATTTCTCCCACAACACATGGGAATTCAAGATGAGATTTGGGTGGGCACACAGCCAAATCATATCAGGAAGAAAATAAATCAAGTAACTTTGGAAATCTCTATTTGGATGGGATACTCTAAGGCTGAAGGAAAAAAAATACTGACACAAAATCTATACTCAAGTTAATAAATCTGTTTTTTTCAGCAATATGAGTCAGCAATTCTGAAACTACTTTTTGTGTATAATAAGAATGGACAATTAAGTGAATATATTGTGTTCAATGAGAGCCATTTTCTCACTGTTAGAAGAGGCACAAATAAGAAAAGGAGAGAGGCTAGAATGAATGGATCTTGTCATTTAGGAATAGAAGCAGATGTTTCATTAAAAGAGGTATCATTATAAGCATCATGTTTTTTAAAGGTAGATGGATGGATAGATGGAGAGAGAGATGATAGTGAGAGGTGAGGCCAGCTGGACTTCCTGGGCCGAGTGGGGAATTGGGGAACTCTTCCTGTCTTACAAGAGGATTGTAAAACGCATCAATCAGTACTCTGTAAAATGCACCAATCAGTGCTCTGCAAAATGCACCAATCAGCGGGATTCTAAAAGTAGCCAATCGTGGGGAGGATTGAAAAAAGGCCAGTCTGATAGGACAGAAACGGAACATGGGAGGGGACAATAAGGGAATAAACGCTGGCCACCCCAGCCAGCAGCGGCAACTAGCTCAGGTCCCCTTCCAGGCTGTGGAAGCTTTGTCCTTTTGCTCTTCACAATAAACCTTGGTACGGCTCACTCTTTGGGTCTGTGCCATCTTTAAGAGCTGTAACACTCACAGTGAAGGTCTGCGGCTTCATTTTTGAAGTCAGTGAGACCACGAACCTACCATCAAGAACCAACTCCCTACACAATAGGTGGATAGACAGTTCCGTGTCTGCATTGGTTGATATGGACACATATGTCTCCTTGCTGTGTCTGCTGAGCTCTAGATACAATGACACTCCACTAGAAATATGCATACCTAGAGCTCAGATCTTGGTTTCTAAATATAATTCTTCAGTGAAAACAACCAGAGTTGCTTGGAGGATTGGTTAACTCCAGGGCTGGGGTGGGTTAAATACAAGATGAACCTGGAATAAAATGTTGTTCTGGAAAGTAAGGAAGGGGAATGTTGAAAGGGTACAAGAGCCAACCTGAGAAAAGCTCCTAATGGCCAAAGCTGGAACAATGTAAACAACAAAATCAATAATATCGGATAAAATCCACAGAATAAAATGAGCATCCACAAGTTCATACTAATCAAAGTAAATATTTACATAAATGAGGAAGAAAGGACAGCTCTTCCTTACAGAAAAACTTCCATTGATAAATATAGAAACGTAGAAAATGGAAAATTGCCATTAACAAAAGATGAAATTCTTGCAGGCAAGTTCTACCAAGGAATAGTAAAATGAATAAGCAAAATCACTAAAAAAAAAAAAAAAAAAAAAAAAATCAGGGTATTTACTAATTAGAGAGATAAAATTAGTAATTTCCAGTAGAGAAACCCAGCAGACACCTTAACCAAGCGGTCAAGGTTAACGCCATCAATATCAGCATCACATATTCCCTGACAGATGCACTGAGAAGAGCAAATTATTTCTGTGACATTCTTGCCAAAAATGCTTAGCCTCAATTGAGGCTTGAAAAAATATGATAACCCAAATTGAGAGACATTCTACAAAATAGCGTACTGGAACTTTTCAGAAGTGTCAAGGTCATGAAATAAAAGGACAGACAGAAGCACTGTCACAAATTGGAGAAGATTAAGAAAACATGACAACTAAATGCAACGTGTAATTTTTTTTTTTTTTTTTTTTGGATCCTCGAAGCAACAAAGTGGAAAAACTGGGGAAATCCAAATAAAGTATTTGGTGTAGTTAATGTTGTTTTATCCATGTTAATTATTTAGCTTTAATTATGTTATTATGTTAGGCAAGATGTTAACATTAGGGGGAGCCAGATGAAGGGCATATGAGAATTTTATGTATTGGTTTTGCAATTTTTCCAAAAGCTTAAATTATTTCAAAATAAAATTTAAAAATATTATTACCTCCTACTATTTTAGGGTTGCTATTTTATCACTATTTTTTTAACCAGGGTTTGTGTGTGTGTGTGTGTGTGTGTGTGTGTTTGTGTGTGTGTATTGTCATTCCAAATTTAGAAGTTTGTATGTTCATTTTTAGTCATTTCATCTATATTTTCAAACATTTCTATATTGCATTATCTGGTTTTTATTTGAAATATTTTTATTTGTCATTATGTTTTATTTTTTACTCAAGATGTTATTTTTTTACTTCTCTCAGTTGTTCTTGATTGTATTCAAAGGTCTACCCCACATACTGGTTTTTTTGGACAAACTTTATTTTGTTAATGTATTTATTTTATTTTTCCATATTTTAAATATATTTTTACTCTCTTCTTTTTGAGATGGAGTCTCACTCCATCGCTCAGGCTGGAGTACAGTGGTTTGATCTCGGTTCACTGCAACCTCTGCCTCCTGGGTTCAGGTGATTCTCCTGCCTCAGCCTCCCAAGTAGCTGGGAGTACAGGTGCCTGCCACCACCCCTGGCTAATTTTTGAGTTTTTAGTAGAGACGGGGTTTCACCATATTGGCCTGGCTGGTCTCCGACTCCTGACCTCAAGTGATCCACCCACCTCAGCCTGCCAAAGTGCTGGGATTACAGGCATGAGCCACCACGGCTGGCCTATTTTTACATATCTATTAATTATGCTGTATTCATCATACTTTCTTTTTTCCATTTTATTAAATTAAAAGCTATAAATGTTCCTGTTTTTTATCTAGAAATTTTGATAAATATAATAATTTCATATTATCTCTTCTAGATAACTTGTAAATTTCCATTTTTAGTGAATCTTTAAGTCAGGAGTGATTTAGAAGTGTATTTTTGAAATTCTGAACTATATGGCTTTTTTGTTATTTTTCTAACTCCATTTCTAAATTCATGTCACTGTGGTCAGTGAACATGACTTAAATGTGTCATTTTGAGGGATATATTAAAATTTTCTTTTTGACCAATTACATAATCTTTCTGTGAATATTTCCTTTGAGAATTTTAATACATATATAATGCTTTTTAAACTATATTTATTAAATTCTGCATAGTCTTATACTTAATTGTCTTCTCCTAGAGCTATATGTAAAAACATTCGCAATGATTGTTCATTTTTCAGTGTTTCATTCTAATTTTATTTCTTTCTATTTTGCATGTTTTGAGATTGTTATGTTTTGGATGTACAGGTTTATGATTTTTATAGCTTCTTTCCGGATAGCTTCTTTTTTGCCAGACTTGAATTGTCCAAAATTGACTAGGTATAAAATTCTGGATAAGATTTTTCAAACACATGTTTTAAACTCAAGTGTTCGAAGATATTCCACTGTTGTCTTTTCTATACAGTATTACTGAAAAGGAGACCTTTGTCGGTCTAGCTTTTGCGTCATTGCGGGGACTTTTTTCCTCCCCTTGGAAGCTCCTAGGTTTCCTTTTCCTCCCCCTTTTCTTCATCCTTGAGTATCTGTCAAGGCTCTAGTTGTTTTTATTTTCATATCTTACCTGGCCCTTAGCAGATGTTTCAATCTAAATACTCAGGTATTAGTTCTTCATAATTCTTACCTATTATTATTTTTTTAATGTCAATCCGTTGCTCTTTCTCTTCGTTAATTTTGCAAGGATAAAGTTGCCAGAACGTCTGAGCATGTTTTATCTCACTCATTTTTTTCTTTTTACTTTTTCTTCTCTATCAGTTTCATATTATTGATAGTTTTGTATCCTGGGAAAACTACTCAGCATGATCTTCCAGGTGGTAATTTTTTCTTTATTTTTATCCACTTATTTGTACCATCCCTTAAGCTTCAAAAAGTTATCAGGAATGCATGTGTATATATAAATGTTGATATAGAATACCTACATTATTTTTAGTTGGCAGACTGATCTTATTTCATAAATGTGAAATCCTCACTTACCTTCCTAAAGATATTAATTATTCTTAACTCAATGTCCTATTTTGTTTGTTCTATTGAATTTTTTAGAGATATGGGTTCTCCTGCTCATTGAGCTTTTTGACCCTATTTACCATTTTATCTTTGCGTAATTATCTGTCGATTCTTGATCACACACCCATGTCTTTGTAGTTGAGAGTGCTGGTGAAATTGTCTCTGCTACCTCTTGTGTATCAGCCCATGGAAATGTAGGGAGTCCATTTTGCTCTCAACGTATTCAGCTGAGATAGGTTAGTGTGAGAATATACCACAAATGAAATACCTTAGTAGCTATTTTTCTGGATGTGAGTGATCTTGATATTTCCATCGTTTACCACACATCAGGGACACACCGTCCTGTATGTCCAACACAGGTTTTATCCTGGTGCAAGCAGATTCCTTGCTGCTTCTGCCTGGACCAAGGGCTGAAGCTATCAGTCACTTGTCTGACCTGGGGGTCTGTCCTATTTCCCCACATCTGTCTCCTCTCCATTGAGCTGCTGTGCTCACTCTTAGTGGCTATACCCGGCTCTTAATTCTGAGCTTTTGTTTCCTTATTCTGTATTTTCTATCGCATGCACATTTCACTTCTTGTTTACTAGTTTGTTTCTCCATGAACATATGGAGAAGTAACCATATGTAGGTGGTTTTAGAATTCACTGTCGTTGCAACCGATTTTATAGGAATGAAAACGTTGCAGAATGTGTTCAACTTGTATCACCTTGAAAGTCAAATTCCCATTTCTGGAGGTCCAAAACACTTGAATGTTGGCAATTTTATATGGTTCTATGCAATCATGTATTAATCACACTCTTCCTTATAGCATATATTTTGTGTATGGTTGTCATGTCCTACCAAAGTTATTAGGTAGTAAACACAAGTGCTACAGTTGTATATTACTCAGTGTTTTATTTTCTGAAGTGGTTGTTAGGTCCTTTAGCAGAATAAGTTCTCAAAAACGTACAACAAAGAAACACAACATAAATTCCTTCTAGGTATCTTTGTGGATATGGCCCTGTTAGAGCTCCATATTTTGGTTGTAGTTTTTCAAACATAAAACAAGATGAGTAGATGTGGGCTTATTGGCATCTGGATGGACTGGGGACAGGAATGTACCGATAACTGTCTTTGTATATCATATGTGGTTTCAACCTGTGCCATCTTCAGGAATATATGTATAACTTCAGTTCACCTAAATTCTCTGGGTTGTAAATATTAGGGAATCCTATTTTCCATGGGATATTCTATGGTTGTCAAATTTATGTACTAGTAAATTTGCCATTATTTCAACTTGCAAAAATTCTAGATTGTCCCAACCAAAGATAATTTTTCTTTCACAAAGATCCTTTGAGCTTTTTGGTCTCTTCTTCCTGTAGCCTTGGGGTTGAGGTTTATATGGTTTCCCAGTTGGGAAACTCTCCCTCGGAAAACTTTTCTGGCAAATCTTGCATATTTCTCCTCCTGGAGGAGTCTCCCCTCTCACATACCTAGCACTCCCTACCCATATACAGGGGATTTGGGACAATGGTGTACATATTTTTCACTAGCTCTTGGCTTACCCCATCCTCCCTTCTGATAACATTTTTTTTTTTTTAGTTTCATTGGGTTTAAATAAAGATGCATATTACAGAAGCCAGGGAAAATCATGCCTAGAAGTATTTGTTCTTCCTTCAACTCAAGATGCAGAGGCCCTGGCTTCAAGATGAGATTCTTAAGTAACTAAAAATAATTTAGTCACATTACTATTCAAGGCTACAACTTATAGCCTTGAAGAATAAATTTCTGATAACATTTGCTTGGAGTTATCGCCGTCTTCCCTTTTTATCTCAGTTGGCATCACTTAAGCAGTCTAAATGAAATCATTCCAGAAACACAAAAATTACTTACCACAATAGCATTTTAATTTGGGATTTTTAATTTCCTTATAAAAGTCACTTCTTTTTAAGTAGAATACTGTTTAAAAATCCAGAGCTCCAGCCAGGCGTGAAGGCTCACGCCTGTAATCCCAGCACTTCAGGAGGCCGAGGCAGGTGGATCATGAGGTCAGGAGATCGAGACCATCCTGGCTAACACGGTGAAACCCCGTCTCTACTAAAAATACAAAACAAACAAACAAAAAAATTAGCCGGGCTTGGTGGTGGCCACCTGTAGTCCCAGCTGCTCAGGAGGCTGAGGCAGGAGAATGGCATGAACCCAGGAGGCAGAGATTGCAGTGAGCCGGGATAGAGCCACTGCACTCCAGCCTGGGCGACAGAGTGAGACTCTGTCTCAAAAAAAAAAAAAAAAAAAAAAAAAAAAAAAAAATCCAGAGCTCCAAATTTATAGTTCTCATTGTCAGAAATGAATTTTCTATTTATAAAATAATGATACCAACACTACAACTAACACACGGGTAGATTCAGAATTTGTGGAGCTTTACAACTTTTATGAGTTTAGAAATTCTCTTCAAGGAAAAGAATACAGTAAGGGGAGGGGTATTTATTCACAATGAGACAAGGAATAAAAATTGCAATTTGTGAAAAGCTGCCAAAAAAAAATCACTAAATCTGGAAAAGCATTACAATATTTTTATTAATTACTGTTTGACCTTTGTTTTCTCCTAATACTTTGGCTCGATTCTCCTTTAAAACCTTTTCCTATGATCAGGATTTATTTTTTATTATTGTTAGTCTGGAACATTTTCTTTCACCTTCACTCCTCTTTAATAGTAATGTCATGTGTAATTTTAGGATTGCCCATTTGAGAGAAAATCTAAATGGGTTTTTTCATGTGTGAGCTGTTTTCACGTGCATTGCAGGTTTTGCAGTTCCTTACCAGAATTACAATTAATTCTGTTTTGCAAGATTGCCATAAAGATATTTTTATACACCTATTTCAAAATATATTTCTAAGAGGAGTGAGCTTCTGTTTGATTAGATTTTGTTGGGAAACAAATCCACCATACATTTTTACATTGCTGAGGATGAGAAGAGTCTTCTTCAGGCTACCTTCTGGTTCTATTTATTCCAAGTCTTGCTGCTCCCTTGCTGTTCCCACACATTCGGTGCGAGGGGCTGCAGGGAGTGTTTCAGTTCACAGTTCTTCTTCTGGGCCAGGACCTGCATGTCACTATGCAAAGTGAGTTGGCGCAAGAAGTATAGACATATTTTTGGAAGCCCTTGACTCACTGGGAAGGCTAGCAGTAAATTCATAATACTCAAAGTGACTGTGAATCCTGTAAATATATTCCACTAAATTCAAACTAAGTGTGCCCCCAGTCACCCTCTTCTTTATTGGATTTCAGTAATACGTATGGACATGGCAACAGCAGCAGGCAAGAGGGGAAACATGTAAGCACGTGGGGGTGGTCAGATGAGAGGAGACAGTAGAGGTAGCCAAGTGCAGTTAAAATACTCTACCCTGACACATTTTATGGCCATATCACACTCTTCCAGTCTCTTCCTGGAATTTTCTTTTTTTCTTTTGTTTGAGACAGAGTCTCACTCTGTAGCCCAGGCTGAAGTGCAGTGGTGTGATCTTGGCTCACTGCACCGTCTGCCTCCTGGGTTCAAGCGAGTCTCCTGCCTCAGCCTCCCGAGTATCTGGGATTACAGGTGCATGCCACTACGCCCAGCTGGTCTTGAACTCCTGACCTCAGGTGATTTGCTCGCCATGGCTTGCCATAGTTCTGGGATTACAGGCATGAGCCACTGCACCTGGCTTCTTCCTGAATTTTGAAAGAAGCCTGTGCAAATAAGGGACATGGGCTTCGTTCAGTACCTTCATGGCAATGCACTTGAGTTAAAACAAAGTTGCTCATATTTAAAAGTAGTACTAAGATTATACTTTTTTATCCTTTGTGCTCTGCCTCCCCATTTTCAGTCTCCTTTATTTTGCCTCTAGAAAGACATGTTTCAGTAAGAGTTAAGCACATACACTTTAAGAATTTAACCAAAAGGAATGTAATGTGAACTATTTTTGTAGGTAGCAATTTCTAGGCTTCAAATGACTCTGTTCAAATTCTGGAATTCTCATATTACATTGGCAGCCTCATATGTAGGGATTTGTTACCATTGGCTATAGCTATAGTACCTTTGAAATGCACCATCTTAAGGTAATGTCATTAGAAGATTGTGGATGGCTTAAAAGAACACCTGAGTAGGTTGGAAAAAGCCACAGGGGCAGCATTAGTATCGTCTCTTTGAATTAATACACTGCTGTGAATTTTGTGGTTATTGTCGTGAAGATAAGCAAGGAAAATTCACTCTAGTGATTTTTCTAGAATTGTAAATTTCCAGAATTGTAAATGTCCAGCATTATTGCAAATATGGGTCAGTTTTCAGTAGGTATAATTCTCCTCCATTTGACTACAATGGCCATGGAGATGCTGTGTAACAATGCACACTTTCAGCAGCCTGCTCAAACCGTTGAATAACATCATGTTTATAAATGCTGTGGCATGAAGTGATTCCCGATAGCTGTGGCAACTTGAAATGCTTAGAAAGAGTGTGGAAAGCATATATATCTAATTTCAAAATGAAGTTTAACATCATTCTGGTGTTATAATGGTGTTTTGTTTTCTTCTAGATTATATAATCTTACGGATCCATTAAGCCTTTGGAATCTGTTATTCTCTTTTAACAAAAACAACAATTTTGCAAAAGCTGCTTATTTGGGGCTACATCTAAAGAAGTATTTTCTATGTGTGACACAACAGGAATTCAATTATACCTCCCAAATAATGAATGTCTATTTTATTCAAGGTTGTGTTCTATATTACGAGAAATTAGATTATGATTTTTGATTCTCGTTATCTTCTAACCAATGGAAGATAGATAATGGCACAAATGAGAACCTGCTTTCTCCAGAGGAGTTCATGCTGTTAAAAAAATAAAGAAAAAGAAAGTCAAAATGTTTTTGATAATATTCAATGTAAGTCCTCTTTCTTTCTCTACCTAATCTCTCATTCTCTTTCTCTCTCTCTCACACACACACATGCATTTACATATAAAACCACTATCAATAAAGCAATGCTTACTAGCTTTATTATTATTTATTATTAGCTTTATTATTTAATATTTAGTGGAAGTAAAAGCCAATGCAAGGTAGCAAAAAAAATCAGAAGTACAGTATTAGAAAAAATAATCCAACTTATTGACTGCATCTGCTTTTATTTTATACCTGTAAACTCCTAAAAAAATGTACTGCAGAGGAGAAGGTGACTGTGGTAGTCAGGGTTCTCTAGAGGGAGAGAAATCATAGAAAATATGTATATATGAAGGGGAGTTTATTAAGGAGAATTGACTCACACGATCACAAGGTGAAGTGCTTCAATAGGCCATCTGCAAGCTGAGGAGCAAGGAGCCAGTAGTGGCTCAGTCCAAGTCCCAAAACCTCAAAAGTAGGGAAGCCGACAGTGCAGCCTTCAGTCTGTGTCTGAAGGCCCTAGAGTCCCTGGCAAACCACTGGTGTAAGTCCAAGGGTCCAAAAGCCGAAGAACTTGGAGTCTGATGTTTGAGTGCAGGAGAAATCCAGCACAGTAGAAAGATGAAGGCAGGAAGACTCAACAGGTCTGCTCATTTCACTTTCTTCTGCCTGCTTTTACTAGCCACACTGGCAGCTGATTGGATGGTGCCCACTGAAATTGAGGGTATTTGCCTCTCTCAGTCCACTGACTCAAATGTTAATCTTCTCTGGCAACAACCTCACAGATACACCCAGGAACAATACTTTGCACCCTTCAATTCAATCAAGTTGACACTTAATATTAACTATCACAAGTCCACGCCTTATGAACTTCAACCCATAAACATCTCCCAAAATCATATATAATCTCCAAGTGAAGACAATAATAAGGTCATAATTATGCCTAATATAACACAGCTATCTTTCCTACAACCAGAAGCTCACTAATCCCTAACCTAAATGCTATTACATAAAGTTAACAACACTTAAATGCTGATATGAAGTCAATAAATCTTCTGTCAAATGATAAAGGAAAAAGAAAGGAAATAAAATAAAGCTATTTTCTCAGTACAAGTGTATACATGCACAAACATATTTTTAACAAAATAAGGAGGAAATACTCATGACAATTACAGTCCTCCTCTCTGCAGCTGGTCACATGGTCATAGCTGGTATTGATGACTACCATCTTCTACCCATTTTGTATTCCCTTTGCTTTCAGAAAGCACCTCAGCAGGCAATGACTTTTTACCTAGTAGAGTGGCCCAATCCTTCATTCCTGAAGGGTCTGGTCCATTTGTCATCCTGCCTGGTTTGGGTTCTTGTAGTTTCCCATTGATCTTGATCACAGGGCATGGTAATACTAAAAGATGCCCTAAGAGATTTCCTGTATTCCACACATACTCTTTCTTACCTCCATTGTGGAGTAGCGGACTGACTTCATCTTGATAGTCCTACTCAGTCACCCCAGCCAACACTGTAACTCCCTTCTTAGCCTGTTGACTTAAAGGTGGAAGGAGCCCAAAGTGTCCAGGTGGCAATCTTAACTTCCAGTTTAATGGAATCATTGTTGTGTCTCCTGGTGGCAGCATTCCTCCCTCTGCAACTAAGACTGCTAGGCCAGCAGAATGTAATGTCACAGGAACAGGAAGCAAAAATTTTGCTAGTGAGTCACTAGGGGTGATTAGTGGTGCCACTTCCACTTCCGTCTTTTGATTCCTCGACCCGTGAATCCTGGCTATGGGAGAAATGGTACCATATATTGAATGTTGATTCAGTGCATACACAGGCTTTTGGAGAACTTTGCCCATCCACATACCTCTTCCCCAAATTTCTTTGTCACCAATTTTTTTTTCTTTTTCTTTTTCTTTTTTCCTTTTTTTTTTTAATTTTGAGACGGAGTCTCACTCTGTCACCAGGCTGGAGTGCAGTGGTGCGATCTCGGCTCACTGCAATCTCTGCCTCCCAGGTTCAAGCAATTCCCCGATTCCTCTGCCTCAGCCTCCTGAGTAGCTGGGACTACAGGCATACACTACCACGCCTAGCTAATTTTTTGTATTTTAGTAGAGACAGGGTTTCACCATGTTGGCCACGATGCTCTCGATCTCCTGAACTCATGACCTGCCCGCCTTGGCCTCCCAAAGTTCTGGGATTACAAGCGTGACCCACCGCGCCCGGCCTGTCACCAATTTTTAAATCATGCTTCTTCTAAGTCCCTGCTCACCCAGCCAAACCATTGGCTACAGCCCATATGTCAGTATATAATCACACATCTGGCCATTTCTCCTTCTAAGCAAAGTGTACAACCAGGTGCCCTGCTTGAAGTTCTGCCCATTGGAAAGATTTCCCTTCAATGCTGTCCTTCAGGGATGTCCTAGAAAGGGGCTGTAGTGCTGCAGCTGTGCACCTTCAGATGGTGACTGCATATTGTGCAGAACTCTCTGTAAACCAGGCCCTAGTCTTCTCTTCCTCTGTCAACTGATGAAAGGGAATGATCCATGAGGTCAGCGGCACAGGCTGAGGGAGAGAAGGTAGGATGGGTGGGGACCACGAGCATTTGGCCCTCTTCCTCATGTAAATTAATTGTGCCTTCAAGACCAGCTCAAGCCCGATCACATATATATCGCTTCCATTTGTTGATGGAATGCTGCTGTGAATGCCCAACTTTATGGCTTGGTTGGTAGAGAAATAACCCAGTTCCTGATATGCAGTTCAGGTTGCATGGTAGCTTGTTGACTCATAGTCAAATGTTCAGTTTCTACCAAGGCCCAGTAATAGGCCAAGAGCTGTCTCTCAAAAGGAGAGTAGTTATCTGCAGAAGATGGCAGGACCTTACTTCATAATCCTAGAGGACTCCACTGTGATTCACCTATGGGGGCCTGCCAAAGGCTCCAAACAGCAATCCCTATCTCCCATTGACAACTCAAGTATCATTGGATCTGCTGGGTCATATAGCCCAAGTGGCAGAGCAGCTTGCGCATAAAACCCACTCAAAACTGGCAGCCTTTCGGGTCACTAGATAAATGGGCCTGAGTAACATAGTTACTATCAGAACTACAAAGTACGATTATGACCAATGAGAAAAACTAGCAAGATAGATGTAAAAAATAAAGATTAATTGTACTATTTTTAGGAATAATTAACTAGTAATATAATGTAAATTATCATTTTATATGCAATAAGGACAGAAATGTAATAAATAAAAAATAAGTCTAATGAGATATGGGTAAAACCTACTTGACACCTAAGATATATTTGAATAGTTAAGGAAATAAACAGAAAATAGCTTTTTTTTAGGTAAGAAAATCCAAAATTGTGTTATCAGTTCTCCTCAATTGATCTCTATCTTCAAGAGGTCATTTGTAAACAGTAAGTACTAAAATAATCACAAAATCATGAGAAAGTAGTAAAATGTGAAATTAGTAGTTACAAAATTAGAACATGAAACTATAGTGATTATAAGTCTTTTATACAAAAAAGAAATTAATGGCTCTCCTAGAAGTTAACAATAGATCAATAGACAGGTAATTTAGTCTATGAAATATTGTCATGTCATTATCAGTGGGAAATAGAGGTTAAATTTTTTACCCACATCTTAATTCAAAATAAACATTTAAAAATGAAATCGTAAAGGTACTTGAAAAAAATGGAAGTCTGGAAAGCTTTTTTAGCAGATCCATTGGCCTAGAAATCACACACAAACAACGAAAGTGTTAGCGATTTTGAAAACCTACATACTAGCATAAAGCAAAACATAACTCTAAGAAATGTTGAAGGTTATTGGAGCAAAGCTGCTATTTCAATAGTTTATCAATAAATTCTGCAATTACATCACCTCATCTGCACCTGATGAATAAAAATAAATTATTTCAAAGTTTTAAAAAGTGCAACAATGATTTGCAAGACAGAGTAAACATACAGTAAAGGTTTTAATTCCTGAGACTTAAGTTGGATAGGTCTAGATTTTCATCAAGGAAAACAAAAGTATGATGTTAAATTCAAATTCTACTCACTGTACTTTGGGAGATTCCCTCCACCATTGGTGAAAAGTTTTATTTTCTAAAATCACACACACTACATATATTTATACAATGCCCATCTTGCCAAAGATGTCTTCCCTGAAATTCTAAATTTATTTTTTCCATCTTCAGATTGTTCAAAACATTGCAACAAAAATGACAAAAAATGTAGTTAAGAGTAATTAGACAATGAAAGAGATGACCTGACCCTGTACAAGGTCAAATGACATTAGGGAGCAACAACTTCTATAATCTCATAAATCACCAAGAAAATGGGCTATTGTGACAAGAGTTTTTGTCAGGAAACCCTTAATATCATCCTGGGATCTTCACTGTGATCAGTATATTCCTCCACCATGCCAAAGAACACCTATAATAGTTGAAGATATAAAAACATTTTTCCAAAAAAATGATTCTATTGTCCTAAATCATTTGCCCAGGTTACTTCATAACTATCTCTTCAATTGAGTTTCAATATTGGCAAAAATTCTTTTGGTTTTCTAATTTATCTTTCTTCCATAAGACACATAATTTATAATTAAACAAAATGTGTCTCTATTAAGTTAAAGTAACGTCTCCATTCCTTCATCACTCTTCACAAAGGTAAATGAAACAATCAACTGCCTCATCTATAAACCATCATTTATATTCCTAATTCTTCCTTCCTGTTGGGCTTGATATACTTTCAACATCTTTTAGGTAAGCCACACGGATAGGTGGTCAATCTAAATGAGTGAAAAATATTCTGTAGCAATCAAGAAGATAAATCAAACCTTGTAAATTTTCCCTACAAATTGGAGCAATATTATGACTTGAACAGTTTATCAAAATTAAGAGCAGTGATTCTTATTCCTAGCTGTCCATTACAAACACCAGGTGTGGGGAGTGGGTAATTTACACATTGAATATTAGGCTTTCTATTAGTCCATTCTCACACTGCCATAAAGAACTACCTGAGACTGGGTAATTTATAAAGAAAAGAAGTTTAATGGACTCACAGTTCCATAGACTGTACAGGAGGGATGGCTGGGGAGGCCTCAGCAAACTTACAGTCATGGCTGAAGGTGAATGAGAAGCAGGCACAATCTTCACATAGTGGAGCAGGAGGAAGAAAGGGTGAGCAAAAGGGGAAGTGCCACACACTTTAAAACAATAGATTTCCTGAGAATGCTCTCATTATCATGAGAACAGCCAAGGGGGAAATCCATCCTCATGATCACATCACCTCCAACCAGGTTTCTCCCCCAACATTGGGAATTACAATTCAACATGACATTTGGGTGGGGACACAGAGATAAACCATATCAGGCTTCAACTGACAATAAATTAGTCAGAAGCCTCAGTACTTGTGCTCAGACTTGGGCTCAGGCTTGGGTGTTTTCTTAAAAAAAATCATTCCAGGTGATTTTAATGTGTAACCATGGCTGAGAACCAGTGAATTAGATAATCATTTTCTAGTGCATTGCTCAATTAAGATAATTATGCCCATAGAGCTTAAGCTATACCTGCTCCACACTTTCCATATCTAACTTTTATACCACCATTCTCTCTCTTCTTAATAAACACATTGTCATTATAAGTCATCACTGCTTTGTCTGTATCTCCAACAATAGGGAAGGGTGTGAAGGAATTTGAAGAGTTTTAATCCATTTTTTACATCTCTAGGGGTAATAAATTTATAGGCTCATGAAATTCTTCTTACTGCTTCTATTGAAGGAAGGGAAGAAGATCTGTTGACATAATGTCTAGGGAGAAACTTTAAGTTAATCTTGACACCCAGAGATACTAATTCTTTTTTTTTTTCCTGTATTTTCTTTTATAGACTTAAAATGACTGCTCTGCAGCCAGGAGTAACTGAAATATTTGGCTTCTTAAAAGTGATGACCTATTTAATGAACAGATGATATAAATATAAGCCATAAGGTTCTTATTAAAATATAAATGGAGGGGTCAATTTCTTAAATGTTTTTAAATATTCAAGGGTTCACAAAGAGGGAATTTTTTAGAACAGAACAGAGATTTCCCTAAAATAAGTTTTATTTTTCTATTAAAATATGCATCAATATCATTATAAGTATGTTTTTCGAGGTTGCCCTTTCCTGCTTTGAATGGTTATGGCAGACTTTGTTTTTCTGTTTATCGCATCTTTAGAGGAATGCCCACATGCCAGAAACAAGTACAACTGAATTTCCTTAACTTGAAATTTCTAAAAAGCAAATAAAATGAAAGAGAATTACAGAGATGAAACAAATTTTATAGAAACTTTTGAATTACATTCGTCCATATTGTTTTATTTTCTGATGTTTTATAGGCTGGGCCTTAGACTAGATCTTTATTTTCATGTCTTGTTCTGACCACATGACATAGTTTAAGGTAGAAACATACACTGTCTGTCAGAGTAAAGCAACACAGAACAATGAGTTCAACGAGTTAATTCACTGGCAATTTGAGTTTTTCCTGATGCTAGTACATGTATGTTCATTCTGTCATTCATAGAGAATCACAGGACAAGTTCTTCCATGGGAAGCAGTTTTATTTTATTGTAGGAAAAAAAGTACTTCAGAAGTAGTTAAGTCCTAGCATAAATAATTATTTATATATATATACTCATATTAGATATTAATTTTAAACAGGTGAAATAGTGAAGTAACAATTATAATGAAAAATCTTATTGTACTGAAAAAACATTGATGTCTACTACATTGGAAGGATTTAAAGCCTTGAAGCATTTTTTTAATCCAACAAACTAAAAATGGAGACTGAGTGAAGATTGCGAATTCACTGAATAATCATTTTGATTCAAATGGTAATGTCACTGAGAAGAAACATTTATTTGACAATCACAAGTGGTATTACCATTTGAATAAAATGATAATTTTATTTTGTTTGCAAAATAGGGTACACATACTATTTATAATTATTTCGTTGTTAAATTTTAAAACTAATTTAATTTCCTGGCCTCTTTCTAAAGTGTGTAGATTAATACCTAATTAGAATTTTAAAAATGAATTATTGGATCTGATGTTTAATGAGATTGTCTGTTGCCATAAGAAATTATAATCTGTTTCACACCTATTTTCTTCTTTTTCAGCTTTTACTTTAGATTCAGGGAGTGCATGTGCAGGTTTGTTACCTGGGTGTGCTGCATGATACTGAAGTTTGGGGTGATCAAATGATCCCATCACCCAGGTAGTGAGCATAGTACTCAACACTTTTTCAACCTTTTCTTCCCTTACTCCCTCCCCTTTCTAGTATTTCCCATTTCTGTTGTTACCATCTTTATGTCCCTGAGTACCCAATATTTAGCTCCCACTTACAAGTGAGAACATGTGGTATTTGTTTTTTTTTTTTTTTTTCCTGTGCTAATTCACTTAGAATAATAGCCTCCAGCTGCATCTATGTTGTTGCAAAGGACATGAATTCATTCTCTTAGAACTGCGTGGTATTCCATGGTGTATATGTACCACATTTTCTTTATACATTTCACCATTTATGGACACCTAGGATGATTTCATGCCTTTGCTATTGTGGAATTGTGTTGCAATGAACATATGACTGCATGTGTCTTTTCGGGAGAATGATTTGCTTTCTTTTGTATATAAACCCAGTAATGCGATTGCTAGGTCAAATGGTAGTTCTAGTTTAAGTTTTTTGAGAAATCTCCAAACTGCTTCCCACAGTGGCTGAATTAATTTGGATTCCCACCAACAATGTGTAAGTGTTCCCCTTTCTCAGCAGCCTCGCCAGCACCTGTTGTGTTTTGACGTTTTAATTGTAGCCATTCTTACTGCTGTGAGATGGTATCTCATTGTGGTTTTCATTTGCATTTCTCTGATGATTAGTGACATAAGCATTTTTTTCATGTTTGTAGGCCACTTTTGTGACTTCTTTTGAGAAATGACTGTTCATGTCTTTTACCCATTTTTAAATGGTTTTTTTTTTTTTTTTTTTTTTTTTTGCTTGTTAAATTCCTTATAGATTATGGATATTAGACCTTTGTCAAATGTATGGTTTGGGAATATATTCTCCCATTCCATAGGTTATCTGTTTACTCTGTTGATAGTTTCACTGGCTGTGCAAAAACTATTTAGTGTCATTAGGTCCCACCTACCAATTTTTGTTTTTGTTGCAATTGCTTTTGAGGACTTAGTCATAAATTCTTTTCTGAGGTCAATGTTCAGAATGGTGTTTCCTAGGTTTTCTTCTAGGATTCTTATAGCTTGAGGTTTTACATTTAAATCTTTTAAATTTTGAGTTAATTTTTGCATATGATGAGAGGAAGGTATCCAGTTTGATTCTTCTGCATATGGCTAGCCAACTATCCTTGCACCATTTTTTGAATAGGGAGTCCTTTTCCTATTGCTTATTTTTGTCTACTTTGTCGAAGGTCAGATGGCTGTAGGTAAATTTCATATATTTTCAAGAAGAGATTATGTTTTAGAGTTGATGCTGTCAATAAAGCACAAACCAAATAGGTTAAAGTAGTATCTAGAGTTATGATAAGATGTTTATTATATCTGACAGTAAGCAGATACAGTAATTTGTGGGACCAAATACTACATTTGGTTTGCAAGCATTGTTCATGGCATTGAAAGACCCTTGGTTTAACCAGAGAAAGAGCATGGGCTTATTGAATTCTAGTTCTGCGACTAATTTTGTGACATTGGACATATTTAGTCTTCCTGCTTTATTTATAAAATAGAGATGACAATGCATATTCCATAAGGTCTTTCTTAGGAATTAATCTGATAATGCCTAGAAATTCTCAGAACACTGCAAAACTCAGTAGCTTACCCACCACTATAATCCTAATTTTTTTATCCAGCAAAACAAATTCTGATATTGGATAATGCTAGATGCCAAGTCTTTTTTTCTTTGTTGGTAGCCTTTCTTATTGGGAATGTGGCACTGTATTTTTTTCTACAAAAAGGTAGAAAAGCAAAAATCTGAGCCGATGTGTATATGGGTTTTTCATTTTCTTTTAAGCATGTGCCCATGTATTTCCCCTTTAGTATAACTATTACTATTATATGATTAAAAAAAAAACACTAAATTGGCAAATGACCCATCACCCACACACATACACACACACACACACACACACACATACACACACACACGAGAGAGAGAGAGAATCCCTAGCAATTTGGTCCAAAATATGAGCTCAGTGCATCCTACAGAGCAAATGTTCAACAACTCTGTGTGGATGGGCATCAAGTAGGTAGAGTGGAGGCTGCAATTCCTACTTTTTCTTACTAAACTCTAAAGTTTTGTTCACCTGAAAGTTTACTACAATATAAGGAGATAATATTCACTTTACCCTGAGTGCTTGGCTCTGAATTATGACCTAGATTCATGCAAAGCTATTAATTTAACATAGTTCCCTACACATGAATGAATTAAATTCCACTGAAGCATAAAATAATATGTAAATATTCAACTAGAATATTAGCCACTGATCATCTGAAGGATAGAAACAGCCAAAGAATCAACAACAGAATGATGTTCTTCTACCTGAGTCAGCTTTCAGCATTTGGAGTTGGAGTGGCCTCTGTTCTTGGCATTGGTGAGATATTTGTACTTAGCCATTTTTTTCCTGGTATAGAGGACTCAATGCCTTCTGTGATTCAGATGATTCCTGGACTCTGCAGTTTGTAGGCAGGGACCATCAAGGACTCTCAGTCTCCCTCAGTGTCCTACTACTTCTCCTTTAGGCCCTTGAATGGAAAGAGCTGGTCTTCTCTCCTGAAAAGTGGAGCTCTAACTTCCACTCACTGATGAGCAAGGCTATCTTAATTTCTATATCCCCTTTCCTGTGGGTAAATCCCAGTAGAATCACTCTCTTCTAAGAGAATTGCCTTTAGTATCTTAAAGAAGAATAAGCAAAACACTAACAATTTCCAACTGTAGCTGTAATTTCTGAATTACAGCTTTAATAAGTGTTACTCTTTTTATTAGGGAGACCACAAGGGCAATAAGCAATGTGTTTAGTTTTCTTCTCTAATATAACATTTCCTACTTTTTCCACTAACACTTCATTACTGACCCGCCTTACTGACTCTACTAAGCTTACTATATGCACATCCCCCACCCTCTCTGTCTCTCTCTTTCTCTCTCTCCCCCCTTCCCTCCCCTCGGAAAATATGGATAAATATGGATGATGACTATCCAGAATAGCTTCATGTACACTAGTATATAACTCTATGAGAATTCATATCTGAGAAAGTTGCATATTCCTTGAAATTTATGCCAACAGATAAAATTGTTTCTAAAAAACACTCTGGTCCGGTGTGGTGGCTCACACCTGTAATCCCAGCACTTTGGGGTGCCAAGGTGGGAGAATCACTTGACGCCAGGAGTTCCACACCATCCTGGAAAACATATTGAGACCACATCTCCACAAAAATTAAAAATAAAAATAAATTAGCTGAGTGTAGTGGTGTGTGCTCTTAGTTATAGCTACTTGGGAGGCTGGGGCAAGAGGATGGCTTGAGCCCAGGAGTTTGAGGCTACAGTGAGTAAGCTATGATTATGCCACTGCACTATAGCCTGGATGACAGAGTGAGACTGTCTCTAAATAGTAACAATAATAATAATAATAATTTCTGATGACAACTTGATTGATAAACAATATTGATAATGCAGATACCAATGCATTTTGTATTGTTCATTCTTTAAAAAGCTGAAAAGAAAGTCAGTGTACATTCTTTAAAATTCTGGTTGCAAAAACATTATGAGTTAGAGAAAAAAAGTTAATCTCCTGGGTCAAAATCAAGAAGATGGGTGAATTTGTTGCTGTACTATTGCCATTTTCAACCACTACTACCAAAAATTACCCATAAAATATTAAGTATTATGTTAATGCAGATAATGAATTTTGTATTTCAAGATATAAAAATATATGATGATTGTTTTTTCAATGGAATGTGTTAAAATATCAAGATTGAAAAATAGTAGATGGGTTTGCAACTACAAAAGTGTTTTTAAAAGCTGACTTTGAATTGCATAGTTAGCGGACTTAACATTGCATAGTAAATAGATCCTTTAGAGAACAAAGAGAATCCTATTGAGTCTGACACAGTGGAATTGGAAGATTCATTTGAGGCAGAATCTCATTCCTGATGCACATATCCACATTATTGTCCCCACAAGTTAAGTTTCTGCCCATGCTTTGGTAGAACACACAAAGTGTTAAAAGTGCATTATGGTCATCTGGTTTTAGAACAGAGTTCATCCTTTGCAAATGAGGAATGGAGACTCAGAACATGCTTGCCACCTGGTGTGCATGCAGCTGAATTACAACTGTGCTCAAAAATGCAAAATGTGAATGCATGGAGGGTAATGTAAATAGAGGATTTACAAAATGCGTAACAAGTATACATTTTTAAATTAGTTGGCAATAATCCAAAGTATATAAAGTATTTCTGAAATTGCTGTCACCTTAGGTATTTATATTAGTTTGCTAGGGTTGCCATAACAAAATGCCACAGACCGTACAAATGGCTTAAACAAGAGAAATTTTTTCTCTCATCGTTCTGGAAGTTGGAGTTTCAAGAGCAAGGTACTGGCAGGGTTGCTTTCAACTGAGGATTCTCCCCACTTAGCTTGCAGATGGCCGGCTTCTTTTGTTTTTGAGATCTCGCTCTGTCGCCGGTCGTCTTCTCATCATGTCCTCACATGGTTGTTTCTCTATCTGAGTGCATCCCTGGTATCTCCTCCTCTTCTTATAAAGACATCAGTCATACTGTATTAGAGCCCACCCTAATGACCTCATTTTAATTTAATCACCCCCTTTAAAGAGCTAATCTCTAGTTAGTAGAATATAACTTAACTACATTTATATTCTGAGGGGCTATCAGAATTTTGGGGTGAAATAGTTCAGCCTACGATAGTATTCACTTCTAGATTTGGGGTAGTACATGAAGATCAATATACATCATTATGGATCTTTTTCAAGACACTACAGCTTTTTCATCATCCATTTCTTGTTAGGGAATTTAGTCCAATGGGACTGCACTATGCTTTATAAGTCTCCACTAACACACGGAATTTCAGGCACAAGGCAGAATCTAAATAAACTTTTGTAAATGAAAGAATGAACAGCATGTGAGAAGATTATTGAAATTGAGCTGGCTAATTTTTTTATTCTCATTTCCATCTTCCCCTGCCACTGTCTCCTTCAGCTGCCAATTTCTTTCTACTTTCTGAATCTGATGAAAGAACATTTTGAAAAGGACCAGGGGCTTTAGGGACCAATGAAAGAGAATTAAGTAGTAGATAAAAAATATAGCTTTGCTTTCCTTAATCAAGTAACATAAACACTGTGGAAAGTATAATCAGAATACATTTGAAAATAAAATTTGCTTTCATGATTTTGAAGGCATGCAAGGAAAAGATACAGTAAAAAAGAGTGTGCTCTAGGCTGAGGTGGGCAGATCACGAGGTCAGGAGATCGAGACCATTCTGGCTAACAAGGTGAAACCCTGTCTCTACTAAAAATACAAAAAAAAACCAAAAAACAAAAAATTAGCCAGGCATGGTGGTGGGCGCCTGTAGTCCCAGCTACTCAGGAGGCTGAGGCAGGAGAATGACGTGAACCCGGGAGGCAGAGCTTGCAGTGAGCCAAGATCACGCCACTGCCCTCCAGCCTGGGCGACAGAGCGAGACTCTGTCTCAAAAAAAAAACAAAAAACAAACAAACAAAAAAACAGTGTGCTGCTCTTTCGTAGGTTGGAGATATTGTCCTCTTTTTTACCTTTGAATTGGATTTTATGTCAAGTTCTTAGATGGAAATTTTAATTGACATGTGACAAAAATCAGGGAAAAGCAAAATGAAACATATTTTGATTACCACATATATTTAAAGTGAAGAATATGAGAAGTCATATATTCTCTATAAATGAGAGATGATTGTAGAGGTAAAGGAATCATTGAAAGTATTTTTATTGGGGAGAAGGAAACAGATGTGATTGGAATGGAATCATAGATACTTCAAAGTGTGTGGAGATATTCTTTTTCCTACGATCAATGGTAGTCACATGGATGTTCTTTTTCACTTTTTGCAAGTTATATAAATAGCATATATATTCACTTCTATGTGTAAAATCTTGTGTGTGTGGTTTTAGTGATTGAATATAGATTAAGTGAACTTACTACTTGTTCTAGAACAGTCATGACGTAGATGTGAAAACTTTGGCAGATCTTTCAGTCTCCCACAAACTTTCTTAAATTAAATCGAGGTGCTGCCTGGGCCTGAGCCGATGTTTGTCTCTGGAGCACAGGTGGATGCTCTGCACTGCCCGTGATTTCTGTCTGTAGTCACCAGATCACGGACACTCCCTCTGGCTGCAGCTGGCTCCCCAAGTTTGACCAGAGGAGGTACAACTCACCCCTTGACTGCTGAGGTCCAATGCAGAAACGATACCTGCTCTTCTCCTCCTCCCATTCCCTACAGCACAAATGAGTCCAGATATACTGTTTCTAAAACTTTGTCAATTGTTGAGAAACAGAATTATAGCATAGAGAAACTTATGTCTGTCTCTAAGTTACTTCTGCTTTGCTGAGCCCTCAGACCTCAATACAGGAGACCCGCCCTTGCTATACCAGCCCCCTTGCCAGATTACAAAGTCATAGTCCGTAGCAGAAGACAGGGTCAACCTGCCACTTAGGCAGGCATTTTACATTCCTAGAGTCTGCTGAGTCCAGGTTGAAGAAAGAAAGGGATAAAGAGGAAACATCCCTCCATTCTCATCTCAGCCTAGGGCATTAGGGAAGAAATGTAGATTCTTCCCCAGGATCTGCATGTCTCCCTGATGTTTGAGAACTATCCTTTGGGTCAGAGTTCATGCCTTCTCTCAAAGCTGGATAGCTATTCTTTGGCTCAGAAAGGGCAATCTATTCAGAACTGAAAGACATGCCATGATTATAGAAGATATTTCTATTTTAAAAAAAAATATCTCTAAAACTCTGGACTGCTCAGCATTAAATGACACAAGTGGAGTAAATCGATGGTCTAGTTTGAGCCACACTAGTTCTGTTCTTGTCACTCTTCCTCCACGGAGCTCATCCTGCCTTCACATCATTCTTATAGTCTACATGGTCCCAGCTCCTGATCCTGTGAGTAGCTGCTCACAGCAGCAGAAACATCTCTCTATAAACAGCTGTTTGTAGGTACAGCACACTCTACATTATGACTTTCAAAAATAAAAATAAGGCTGGGTGAGGCAGCTCACGTCTGTAATTCCAGTAATTTCAGCACTTTGGGAGGCCAAGGAAGGCGGATCACTTGAGGTCAGAAGTTCAAGACCAGCCTGGCCAACATGGAGAAACCCCATCTCTACTAAAAATACAAAAAATTAGTCAGGTGTGATGGCGGGTGCCTGTAACCTCAGCTTCTCGGGAGGCTGAGGCAGGAGAATCCCTTGAACGCAGGAGGTGGAGGTTGCAGTGAGCGGAGATGGCGCCACTGCACTCCAGCCTGGGCGACAAGAGCGAAACTCTGTCTCAAAAAATAAATAAATAAATAAAAATAAAACCTTAAACAATTATGAGGTAAAAATTTCACCTGCAACATTTAGAAGAAACTGTTCTAGATGACAACAAAGAGACATGGGTGGATTTAAAATCTAGAACAGGAAGGGGCAGTAGAAAACTAAACTATTTGTATGTTAAGATATAAAAATAAATACATGCACAGTTATATATGTAACAGAAAATATAATTAGCAAATATATAGCTCTCCCTCTCCCTCTCCCTCTCCCCACGGTCTCCCTCTCCCTCTCTTTCCACGGTCTCCCTCTGATGCCCAGCCGAAGCTGGACTGTACTGCTGCCATCTCGGCTCACTGAAACCTCCCTGCCTGATTCTCCTGCCTCGGCCTGCCGAGTGCCTGCGATTGCAGGCGCGCGCAGCCACACCTGACTGGTTTTCGTATTTTTTTGGTGGAGACGGGGTTTCGCTGTGTTGGCCGGGCTGGTCTCCAGCTCCTAACCACAAATGATCCGCCAGCCTTGGCCTCCCGAGGTGCCGGGATTGCAGACGGAGTCTGGTTCACTCGGTGCTCAATGGTGCCCAGGCTGGAGTGCGGTGGCGTGATCTCGGCTTGCTACAACCTCCACCTCCCAGCCGCCTGCCTTGGCCTCCCAAAGCGCCGAGAGTGCAGCCTCTGCCCGGCCGCCACCCCGTCTGGGAAGTGAGGAGCGTCTCTGCCTGGCCGCCCATCGTCTGGGACATGAGGAGCCCCTCTGCCCGGCTGCCCAGTCTGGAAAGTGAGGAGCATCTCTGCCCGGCCGCCATCCCGTCTAGTAAGTGAGGAGCACCTCTTCCCGGCCGCCATCCCATCTAGGAAGTGAGGAGCGTCTCTGCCCGGCCGCCCATCGTCTGAGATGTGGGGAGCGCCTCTGCCCCGCTGGAGCGCCTCTGCCCGGCCGCGACTCCGTCTGGGAGGTGAGGAGCGTCTCTGCCCGGCCGCCCTGTCTGAGAAGTGAAGAGACCCTCCGCCTGGCAGCCGCCCCATCTGAGAAATGAGGAGCCCCTCCGCCCAGCAACCACACCGTATGGGAAGTGAGGAGCGTCTCCGCCCGGCAGCCACCCCGTCCGGGAGGGAGGTGGGGATCAGCCCCTGCCCGGCCAGCCACCCCGTCCGGGAGGTGAGGGGCGCCTCTGCCCAGCCACCCCTACTGGGAAGTGAGGAGTCCCTCTGCCCGGCCAGCCGCCCCGTCCGGGAGGGAGGTGGGGGGGTCAGCCCCCCGCCCGGCCAGCCGCCCCGTCCGGGAGGGAGGTGGGGGGGTCAGCCCCCCGCCAGGCCAGCCGCCCCGTCCGGGAGGGAGGTGGGGGTGTGAGCCCCCCGCCAGGCCAGCCGCCCCGTCCGGGAGGGAGGTCGGGGGGTCAGCCCCCCGCCCGGCCAGACACCCCGGGAGGTGAGGGGCGCCTCTGCCCGGCCGCCCCTGCTGGGAAGTGAGGAGCCCCTCTGCCCGGCCGCCACCCCGTCTGGGAGGTGTACCCAACAGCTCATTGAGAACGGGCCATGATGACAATGGCGGTTTTGTGGAATACAAAGGGGGGAAAGGTGGGGAAAAGATTGAGAAATCGGATGGTTGCCGTGTCTGTGTAGAAAGAAGTAGACATGGGAAACTTTTCATTTTGTTCCGTACTAAGAAAAATTCTTCGGCCTTGGGATCCTGTTGATCTGTGACCTTACACCCAACCCTGTGCTCTCTGAAACATGTGCTGTGTCCACTCAGGGTTAAATGGATTAAGGGTGGTGCAAGATGTGCTTTGTTAAGCAGATGCTTGAAGGCAGCATGCTTGTTAAGAGTCATCACCACTCCCTAATCTCAAGTACCCAGGGACACAAACACTGTGGAAGGCCTCAGGGTCCTCTGCCTAGGAAAACCAGAGACCTTTGTTCACTTGTTTATCTGCTGACCTTCCCTCCACTATTGTCCTATGACCCTGCCAAATCCCCCTCTGTGAGAAACACCCAAGAATGATCAATAAAAATAAAAATAAAATAAAATAAAAAAGAATAAAATAAAATAGGTCTCTAGAGTCATTATAAATTAGAAATGCTGCTTTGACCACCAGCATAGAACCTTTCTACATCATTGTATGGAAGCCTACACAGGCTTTCCAGCCTCTCTTTTGTGATCAATTCTCTATCTGTTTTACTTTTGCAAACTTCACTGATATTTTATGTGGCTTTCCCCAGAAATGGGGCTGTTGCACTAAAGATGAATTTAAGTTGCTGGACCAATCCCTTTTAGCTTTGAAGTGTGGTAGACTTTTTCCAACTTCTTTCATGTACATTAAAGTTTCAAATATCACAGGGCAAAGGTCAAGGCTTACTTTCAAGTGGCCCTATGCTCTGTCTTCACAGCCATCTTTATGAGGAGTAACTTCACATGGCAATGAAGCCTAGGAGTAAAAGTATAGCCTTGAGATGATGCCAGAAAGTTTTACGTCTCCCTTTCCTCAACATGCTGCAAATATTACTTTCCATTCCTTGTATTACTGTTGACTGAGCTTTCTACCATGGTCAAGGCAATTTGAGTTTAGGCTTATCTGCAACACTGCATTGCAAAGAAAAGCATAAAACAGCTGCAGGCATTTCATCTTATCTCCTTTTTCCTTTTTAATGTTTCTATAATAAGAGCAACAATATACAACAAAATAGTAAAGCAATTTCTGAAATACAGTCATATGCCTCCGCTGCCTAGGTTCAGCTCTTGGCTGGCTGAGAATGGTGGTGTACTGACAGATTCCTGTCATATTGGCTAATACAGGAAATGCTGCAAGGAAAGGCGGCTGCTGTCATTTCTGTTCAGGCCCTTTATTATCCAGATCTCTCATTCAACAACCCTGCTCTGACAGTCATGAGATACAAGACATGCCCATCTCCTCACGGACCTTAGTACCCTGTGGAGGATAGGCAACAGATAAGAGATGATTTTAGGCCGAGTGCAGTGGCTCATGCCTGTAATCCCAGCAGTTTGGGAGGCCCAGGTGAGTGGATCACTTGAGGTCAGGAATTTGAGACCCACCGGTGCAACATGGTGAAACCCCATCTCTACTGAAAATACAAATATCAGGCAGGTGCAGTGGCATGCGCCTGTAATTCCAGCTACTTGGGAGGCTGAGGTAGGAGAATTGCTTGAACCCAGGAGGTGGAGGTTGCAGTGAGCCAAGATCGCGCCACTGCACTCCAGTCTTGGTGACAGAGTGAGGCTCCATCTCAAAGAGAAAAAAGAGAGAGAGAGATGATTGTAGTGCTGGCCAGTGTGTTATGCTAGGCATCTACACAGTGCTGGAGCAGAAAATGTAGAGAATGATTAGTGTGCAGCGAAAGAGAGGATCACTGGGCTGAGCCCTGGGGATTGGCCTAAAGTTAGAAAGTCACAGGGATGGGAATAAAGAATTTCAGGCTGAGTGAGCAAATTCACACTCAAAGGCAGGGTAGAGCATGGGATAGAGAGGGAGACATATTTTGGAAACTGCTGACAAAGCAGCTGAACTGTAGACTGCATCTTGCTTGGGGTACAAAGAAGAGAAGAGTTGTAAGAGGTGATGAGTGCTTTTCATTGATTGTGTCCTACACACCTACCCCACCATCCCACAATTTATAGGCTGAAGCTCCAACCTACAATGTGATGGATTTTTAGAACTAATTGGATTTAGGTAAAGTCATAAGGGTAGAGCCCCAGTGACATCATTAGTGCCCTTATAAGAAGAGATACCAGAGAGCTCTGTCTTTCTCTCCCCTACCCGCTGGTCCCCTGCCCCCCTTCCCCTACCGTTCCTCTCCCTCTCCCTCTTGTAGGGACATCACAGTAAATCACTTGCCTGTTAAATACATTAGAGTGCTGAAAATCTTATTAGAGAGATTCTTTCCTTCTAAATATTTTAGATGTTGTAATCATCTTTTTTAAAAAAATGGCAAAATTGGCCAGGTGCGGTGGCTTATGCCTGTAATCCCAGCACTTTGGGAAGCCAAAGTGGGTGAATCACCTGAGGTCAGGAGTTGGAGACCAACCTGCTCAACATGGTGAAACCCCATCTCTTCCAAAAATACAAAAAAAAATTAGCTGGGCATGGTGGCAGGCGCCTGTAATCCCAGCTACTCTAGAGGCTGAGGCAGGAGAATTGCTTAAACCAGGGAGGCAGAGGTTGCAGTGAGCTGAGATTGTGCCACTGCACTCTAACCTGGGCAAGAGAGCAAGACTCTGTCTCAAAAAGAAAAAAAAAAAAAAAAAGGACAATGTTGGGGGTAGATAAAGGGTTGCCAGAGTCAACAATAAATGGAGAGGAATAACCAACAAAGCAGTGGGGAGATAAAAAGTAGAAAGCAATGCTGTGTGATGCTAGTAACATGACAATAAAAATAATATTGGAATATATTATGGTATAATATAATAACACAATGTAACTTCATATAATGTAATATAAAATCAATTAGCTTGACATTCAATAAAAATTCCTGTTATATATAAAATTTTGGACAAAGAAAAATCAAACTTGAAAATTTATTGTCAGACATAACTATTGTGCACATTTTATTTTAAATATTTAAAAAAGGAAGCAAATTGATGACTTACTGTAGTGTGCATGCTTTATTTAAATTTTTCCGTTTGTGTCCCAGGGCCAGTATATATTTAAATTAAATTCAGACATCTTTAATAGTTTTATTCAGTTACCTATAAATAATTTCAATAAACACAAATGGCAATCATATATCCAACATTAATGTTTCTTTGCTATTTGAGATTCTGATTATAAAGTTAGGAAAATTGACCATACATTTAGAGAGATTTTGAATCATAGGGATTGAAATCAAAATGTCTCTGAAATCAAAGCATCTCAGTTATACGAATGAGTGACTTCTACTCAGATGGACTGATGTTTGGATTTCCACTGCTGAAATATAAAGAGGAAGAAGCATGCACAATTTCACACAATCAAGCTAATTAGAATCAGTAATGTCTAATATTTTCAAGTATTTCCTCTTACAGTAAACTGTTTCAAGTCTTTTGGTTAAAATATATTAGAATATGTTTGTAGTCAAAATTATCTTCTGCTAAAATTCAGGTTTAAAAATTTTTAATGCAATCTACTTTATATTCACAAAACTGTTCAGAAATCGTAACAGCATTGACATTGATCTGATACATCGTGATACTTTTTTTAACTGATTCAGATAAATTCATATATAATTTCAAAGTGATTGAAAGTGTCCATATATAATGATGATATCATTTGCATGTGCTGATGTAGAAATTCTCACACTTCATTTATAGTTCCCTGTGTACTATGCTTGTACTTGTGGGTGTAAATGAATGATTTGTCCATGTAACTTACCTATTCAATTTTCACTTTGATGTTTCTCTTTTGTTTAAGGAAGGGAAATTCTTTAGGCCTCTTTGTAAAATTACCTTTTAGGGGACTATGTTCCTGAAATTATAGTTAAATAAACTATTTTCACTTCAAAATGTACAATGGTCCTTACTCATCCATGCCTCTCAGGTTTTACTGAAGAGACTATTTATTTTGCTATTGTTTCTTTTGATCAGATGAAATTAAGGTATATATAAAAGCAATATTTGTACAACTAAAGTTAATTTTATTTCATTTGTATTGTCGTTTATGTGATGCTGCCACCTTGTGGCCATTTGGTCAATATTAAAATTTATATTTCTGGCTAGTTTATAAGAATGCCCCCTAAAGCATTCTAGAATGTATCTCCCAACGTCATGGACAATATTTGCTCTGATAAGTACTATCCTGCTAATTATCTCTCCGTATATAAGCCATTACAGTTATTTGTGGCATCTGAAAGTTTTAGGTAAATTACCCGAGAAAATGTTATTTCGATGATGTTCAATTTATATAAATTGACATTAACATTTGTCTTAGAAAAAGAAGGAATCACGTTTAAATACTGTCTTTACATAAATACATTTCATAGTGTTTATCTTATCATGTGCCTGTGTACAATAAAGTTATTTTAATCAACAAGTTAAACAATTTCACCTTTTTAGAATGGACATAAATAAGGTAAAGATCAATTGTATCAAGAACTGAAGACATGTTTTTCATCATTATTACATACTCTAGGTTACAGAGTATCTAAAATATGTCATTAAATTTTAAAATTGTCTTAGAACCTATAGCTTGGAAATAGTTCATTTTTTTATTAAGCCTTATTATACTTGAGATTTTCTCATTTTTATTCTATATTAAAATCAAGATATTAAAGCAGAGTATTGTTAGTGTACATAACACATTTTCTCCATCGCAGATGGGAATCTTTCTTTTTTTTAAATTATACTTTAAGTTTTAGGGTACGTGTGCACAACGTGCAGGTTCATTACATACGTATACATGTGCCATGTTGGTGTGCTGCACCCATTAACTCATCATTTTCTTTTAGACTTTTATTTTAGCTTCAGCGGTACATTTGCAGGTTTGTTGTATAGAGAAATTGTGTGTCACAGGTGTTTTGTGTACAGATTATTTCATCACCTAGGTAATAAGCATAGTATCCAACAGGTAGTTTCTTCTCCCTCCTTCCAACCTCCAGTAGGCCCCGGTGTCTGTTGTTCTGTTCTTCATGTCTGTGTGTTCACAATGTTTAGCTTCCACTTGTAAGTGAGAATAGATGGTATTTGGTTTTCTGTCCCTGCATTAATTTGCTTAGGATAATGGCCTCCTGCTCCATCCATGTTGTTTCAAAGGACATGATCTCATTCTTTTTTAATGGCTACATAGTATTCCATGGTGTAATGGATGGGAACATTAAGGATAGTGGATGAGAACTCTGCTATCATGCCTGATCCTGCCACCACATAAGATTTTGTCCAGTTAGCTTTGAATTCTGCCTGTCCATGACCAACTTTCAATTTGCATGGACTTTCAATCATTTGCATTCTGTTCCTGTCAATTGTTGGAGCTTCACGTCTTTCCACTGCAGTGAAGGCCAGACTTCTTAGCCTTCTGGTTTTTCCTAATGGATGGAATTTATTAGAAGCAATGAGAATAGTTTTATCACATTGCTCAAAATATTTTCACAGCTTTCTGCTTTTCATTCAGTCAAATACAAGTCTTAAACCCAAAAATATATATTTCCAGAAACAACATATAGTACAGTTAATAATCATCATGAACATAATTTTAATAGATGATCATATATCACCAGATAGGAACTGGTACAGTTTCCCATAGAAATTTGAGAGCAAATAAAAAGAAATTAGAAATAAATTACTAAATATAGATTTTGTTCCAGATATACATATACACATATCATCACTCATTATGAAGCAACTTCTTTTTTCTGTAAAATAGGCAAGAGCACACTTAAAAATATTGATTTGAGGTAGAATACAAACCTATTAAGAAGAGTTTTAGTGGTCGGGCATGGTGGTTCGTGCCTGTAATCCCAACACTTTGGGAGGTCGAGGCAGGCAGATCACCTTAGTTCAGGAGTTTGAGACCAGCCTGGCCAACATGGTGAAACCCTGTCTCCACTAAAAACACAAAAATTAGCCAGGCGTAGTGGCACGCTCCTGTAGTCCCAGCTACTTGGAAGACTGAGGGAAGAGAATCAATTGAACCAGGTGGTGGAGGTTTCAGTGAGTGGAGATCATGGCATTGCATTCCAGTCAGGGTAACACAGTGAGACTCCATCTCAACAACAACAACAACAACAACAAAGAGTTTTAGTGTAACTTTCAGATAGGTAAATGGATATACCTCACTTGAGCTTAAAAAGAAAAATATCACAGAAGAGAATTAGGAAAATAAAAATTTTTTAAAAGATGAATTTAAAAAGCAAAAACTCTATATACACAGATAAATTAATAGCACTGTATATAAACTTCAGTTCTTCTTTAATAGAATTATGATAGTCCTGCATATTCACATTAAAATTGTTCTGAAAGCAACATTTTCCCAATTTCTGCCCTCCAAGTTCAACCTGAAGAAATGTTTAATTAATCCCTGATCATAAAATGGTGTGAGCAGACACCTGTCATGCTTACTCCCACCTTGTTATCCTCCTGCTCTGGGAAAGGAGCCAGGTCACCTTTTCCAATTGCCTTATGATTATACAAAACCTGGTAGCTAACAATGACTAGTGGGTTGTGAATAGATGTCCTGTCACATTTCTGGTCTGAACATTTAATTCCAGCATTGGGGCTGTACAGTACTTATTTTCTCTGCTGCCGTTGATCCAGGCAGCAACAAATTCCAGATGTTGCAACTATAAGAAGTTGGAGTCTCTATTCACTTGAATCATTGCATTGAGGCTGGAAGGTCTGAATCTGTGACATATTGCCTGGGCCAAAGAAGAGTTTGAATGTGCCCCAAACAAACCTTCCTTGGGTTAAGCCACTGAGATCTGGGGAATATTTTCTTTTTATAACATGATGTAGCCTGTGCTGACTCATACAAGGGGCTGAAAAATTCAAATATTAATGCTTATAAGGCTCATATTTTCTTAACTTTTCTTTATCCAATTTGACACTACTTTACATTTAGATAAAGTGAGTCTGTTCTCTTCTCTCCACCCAGACTTTAGCACAGAATATGATGTATTAGGGTCTTCCTACTCAGTAGCCATGTGATTTGCTCATTAATCACAAGTGCCAGTTGGGAACATCAGAAAATAAGGGAAAATAGACTTCGAAAGAAATCAAAAGACATACACAAAAGACCTAGATGGTAAGAATGACCATTTTTGAAAAGAAGCTGAAATCCAAAGCTACCCCTCTTTTTCCTTAAATTGCTTTCCCTGAGGTCCTGGAGGTGTTTCCCATGCCCAGTGCCCAAGGTGAGAAGCTTTGGTCCTGTAATTACTCACGATTACTGGTTTTCTCTCTCAGTATGTCCAAGTAACTTCTGAAAGAACTTTGCGTAACCAACAAGAGTAGCAGGTTTATCTTGGTCTTGTATATGTTCTCAGGAGTTCTTGAGGCCTAATCTGGCCTCACCATGAACTCTTAACATAAAAAAAGCAATGATAAGCTCTTGTTTTTAATATGCTATTAAATTTTGGAGTCTATAAGTATAGACTTGTTATAGCTGATATTAGTAGAATGATGCCATGAGAGTATGAAGAGATGGTGCTGTTGAATTAAAATATTAAATTGGGGCTGGGCGTAGTGGCTGATGCCTGTAATCCCTGCACTTTGGGAGGCCAAGGCGGACAGATCACCTGAGGTCAGGAGTTTGAGACCAGCCTGGCCAATATGGTGAAACCTCGTCTCTACTAAAAATACAAAAATTAGCCGGGCATGGTGGTGCACACCTGTAATCCCAGCTACTCCGGAGGCTGAGGCAGGAGAATCGCTTGAACCCAGGAGGCAGAGTTTGCAGTAAGCTGAGATTGTGCCATTGCACTCCAGCCTGGGGAAGAGAGCAAGACTCTGTCTAAAAGAAAAAATTCCATTGGGCAAGTTCCTTAGTCTTGAAAAGCATGTTTTCTCCAAGTAAACTTGTAGCATAATGTACATTGCTGGCATCATGCCATGACTCTTGTGTCATACAATTCCAAGGGCTACCTATAACCCTGGATTCTATGTTAGTGGTACCCATGGCATTCAACTCATATAAATCACATTGTGAATAGTAGGCCATGGAGTTGTGGCTCTAAATGCTGGGCACAGAGAAGGTATTTGATTATGATAACTGTTTGTTTCTTCATGTTTTCATAGGCTTTTATTTGAGGGGGTGAGTAGCTATTATCCTTTTTATCATTGGTGGAAGTAGAATTCTAATGGGGTTACACTGATATCTTCTATGCAAATAAAAAAGTTGGCTAAAGTTTTCTGCCATCAAGCGTCAGTTGGGAATTTTTTTTATTGTGTCCCAATTGTTTTCAAGTTAATCACGATAATAGCTAATACTTATACAACACTTAATGTGCACCAGGTGCTGTTTTAAGATATTGATGTATAATAATTCAAGAGCTACATAGTGTTATTATTTCCACTTCTTAGACTGAGAGAAACACAAAGGGGTTAATTAACTTTTCCAGAATCACAGAGAATGTGAGGGTTTGAGACACTATTTGAACAGCTGATCCAACCCCAACATGTTTTCCCTTAAGCATAGAAGTTAAACTGCTTCCGAAATATTTTTCTTGCTATCTCTATTCCCCTTTGCGAGCCTTTTGTTGATATAAGTTTGTGTTTAAAATTTGGCTGTTAAGGAACCAAGCAAATTGATAGGTTTCTCTGAAATAATTAATAAGCGGGTTATTCTATCCACACTAACATGTTTATATTAATATGATTAAGGAATATAACAATTAATATATGATAAATATTTCATGAGATTAAATTTAATCATTTAAAAGTTGAACATAGAAAAACGAACATAACCTCAGGCTTTCACATTTATGTTTATGTTTCTGTAACTACCTAAGTGTTTTTATAAACAGAATGTATTTTTTATATGTGCCTCTAAAATCTAGTCTAATCATATGACAATCTCCTACCAATATGATGTCTGAACTCTTAGTAGTGGAATATCTTTGCTTTCAAAGTTTGCTTTTATGACCTGTAAGAGAGCATTTTGAGGAGAAGCAAATTTGGTGCAGAAGGAATCACTTGCCCTTTTGTAACCCAGAGAAAATAATCAGGAAAGGCTCACAGTGGGCTACTCTCCAGAACCTGAAGAAGAGTCAGCTCCTACTCCCATCTCTCAGCGTTGGCATGCTTGAGTTGTGCTCTGTTTTGGAGAAAGGAGGTTTGAGGAGAAGAGTGAGATAGGAACCTGACCTCTGTGCAGTATTCAATTTCTTGAGCTCTAGTGGAGCCTTTTAAAAGAAAAGTGTCAAAGTCAGAAAGGAAAGAAACGCTGCATAAGAAATCTCCAAGAGCTTGAGCATAAACAGGTTGCCTTTGTGTCCAGATTAAAACAGCTATATTAAGTTAGGACCGAAACCACTCGTCCCAATGCAGCCTAAAATTAAGATCTGCTCTGGAACTTTGAAAATGGGGGCTTTGGGAATATCTGTTTAGAACAGTCTTAGGCTAGACACTGAGGTTCACATTCTGATGGCACATTGCATTGGAAATGATGGTGCCCAGGAGTGATTTCCAGGACATTATATTTTGACAAGGAGGAATTCAAAACAAGAGAGGAAGGCATCATGGATGATTATGGAATGTTCTGTGAAAGCAAGTGAAGCATGTGTTTGACAGATTCACAGACATAGTTGAGGACTGGTAAGTCACAGACTACTATGAAGTCTTGTTTTCTTCTCTAATAGCAGAACTTTGATTTGTGGAGTCCTGCTGCTATCCAGAATAAAAGATTATATTCCTTATCCTCCTTGAAGCTAAGTGTGGCCACATCACTAAATTCTGGAAAATAAAATCTAGAGAGATAAGATTTATGAGACATCTGGAAATGCTATAAAAGGAATTCATTTATTTAATAGAAGATTTTTGAAATTTATTCTTTTGGCCTGAGAAATAAACATGAGGATAGGAGCTTCAGCAGCCGTGTTGAAACATGGGGTGACTTTCAGAATGGAAGTCAAATACTGACTCTGAGAAGAAACTCAGGTTCCCAGGTCTCCTATTAGTGTAATGTATTTGACCTATTTTTCTTGAACTACCTATCCCTGGGATACAGAATACATGAGGAATAAGTATTCTTTTACACAAGTGAGTAGATATAATCTTTACTGATGCTTTGCTATAAGGGGGATGCTGGAATTCCTAATGCAACAGTTGGAGAAGAAAGAATCAATCAGATCAATAAAATATGTTTTGTATCCACAGCCCGAGGAAGCACACTAGTTTTTTGACTATGAGTTTTATAAACAATAATTAGAGTACAAATCACAAAACCAGCTTGAAGGCAAGAGTTATTCAATAATCATGCAAACAATAATAACCAAGAATCTTCTATAAGCAATGTCTGTGTAAACATGGCAGGCTTATTTAAGGAATAGGTAAAACTTGGTGCCTGCTCCCAGAAATATACTTCTGTGCAGAAGAAGCGTATGAATATTAAGAAAAATTTAATAAGTGATTTTAAACAATTTTTTGGGGGGACAGAGTCTCACTCTGTTGCCCGGGCTGGAGTGCCGTGGTGCAATCTCAGCTCACTGCAGCTTCCACCTCCCAGGTTCAAGCAATTCTCCTGCCTCAGCCTCCCAGGTAGCTGGGATTACAGGAACATGCCACCACGCCCAGCTAATTTTTGTATTCTTAGTAGAGACGGGGTTTTGCTATGTTGGCCAGGCTGGTCTTAAACTCCTGACCTCAGGTGATCCACACGCCTCGGCTTCCCAAAGTGCTGGGATTACAGGTGTGAGCCACCATGCCCAGCCTAAAACAATTTTTAAGTGCTATAAATATACAGAGAAAGAATTTAGCATTTTAATAATTGAATATTTCAAGTTTTGAGACATATGCTGAAAATCTCCTATATATAAATGCAGAGCGTGTAATGGCTTGTCTTCCTGATTCTATTAGTCAGTCATTGACATATATATATATGTAAAGGGTTGGCTCATGGGATGATGGAGGCAAGCTGGAGACCCAGGAGAGCCTCTGCTGTAGTTCCAGCCTGAAAACTGGCAGTTTCAAGATGCAAGAAGAGGCTATGTTTCGGTTTGAGTTTGAAGGCAGGAAAAAAAATGATGTACCAGCTAAGTAGTCAGGCAGGAAGAATTTCCACTTACTTAGCTTTTTGTTCTCTTTACATATTCAGTTTGACTGGGGGAGGCCCACCCACAGGAGGGAGGGCAATCTGCTTTACTCATTGTACTGATTCAAATGTTCTTCTCGTACAGAAACGTTCTCACAGGCACCCCAGGACAACGTTTGACCAAATACCTGGGCACCCCATGGCCTGGTTAAGTTGACACATGAAATTAACCAACCTTCTGACATTGTCCAGGCTGTGCAGACCCCTGGTTATGCATAAACCAGGATCCCTTAAGAATTCGTGAAACAGGCTGTAATACATGCCTTGGCCTGCTCTGAGGTATGGTTGGTATTGTATAGTCAGTTGATGTAATATCTTTGCATTTACTCTGCAGACTTGCATGATCCATGCTCTTTAGAGTGCATCATTCAGCACTGCTCCTGCCTCCCCATGCCTGCATTTCACATGCACATTTCTTTGTCAATCTCCTTCTCAGCACTTCCAATTGCACAGATCAGTAAGCAGAAAAAGAAGGCAGGGAAATGAAGGAAATCAGGAGACAAGTCAGTCTATAAGGTCAAGAATGATGTTAGAAACTGACATGGGTAGTTTATCACCAGATCACCAGATCCTCAAAACCACCCACAAAGGAAAACTCTAAAGATATTGATCCGGAGCCAAGATAAAGAATGTGATGTATATAGATAAATGATTTATAGGGCTGGGTGTGGTGACTCATGCCTGTAATCCCAGCACTTTGGGAGGTCGAGGTGGGCAGATCACTTGAGGTCAGGAGTTCCAGACCAGCCTAGCCAACATGGCAAAGCCCCGTCTTTACTAAAAAATACAAAAATTGTCCTGGCATGGTGGTGCGTGCCTGTAATCCCAGCTACCCAGGAGGCTGAGGCATGAGAATCACTTGAACTTGGGAGGCAGACGCTGCAGTGAGCTGAGATCATGCCACTGCACTCCAGCCTAAGCAATAGAGCAAGACTCTGTCTCAAATAATAATGACAATAATAAATAAATTATTTATAATTAGCATAGGAAAAATATAGGAGAAATGGGATTTAACGACTACATACTACCAAGCAAGATATGGAGTAAAATATATTCTTAATAAGGTTCACTTCACCAATAAATTATAATGAATAGAGTAGGGTTTTCCTTGTTTTTATCCTCTCTTATTCTTTTTTTTTTTAATCCAAGCCCACTTCCCCTTCTTTTAAGAAAGTTATATTATTGACTGAGGAGGGTGTATGAGGGAATACTGGACTAGGAATCAGAAGTCATGGGTTCCATTTCTGCCACCGAATTGCTGTAGGTACTCAGTCTTGCCAGTTTAGCATTTTTCCATTTATATATCCTCATTTGCAAAGTGAAATAATTAGACTAGAGCAAGGCTTCTCAGACCTGACCTGCATCAGAATCGGGAAAGAAGCTTTTTTTTCCCCAGAAATACAGATCCTGGAAATTAGCCAAAGACATTTTAACTCCATAAATATTAAATGGAGTCCACAGGTTTATTTTTTTTTATATTGATCATGGGAAATCCTATTTCTTCATCAGGTTTGAGAGTCCTAGAAGGAATGATTTATACAATATGCTAATTTCCTGACCTTCTATGAAATAGAATTTACTATAAAATATTTGGAAAAAAGGAACTGGTTTGATTCCTAAGTACTAGTATCCATCCTAGAATTGATTAGGGCCAGAACAGGGAAGTCCTAACTTGACCAGACTTGTACCTTTGAACTTGCTGAAGAAGAATCTGTAGGAAAGGCATCGACTCATGTTGCTCAATGATTAGTCTATATATTTTTTAAAGTCATCAAAAATGAAGAGAGAGACTTGTAACAAGTATATACAAATGAGAACCGTAGGTCTTAGGAGTAGAATTGTTGAGAAATGATAATCTCCAGAATGATTTGAGAATTTTGAGTAATTCTGCCAATCCTGTTTTCTCCATTTTTTAAAGAAATTTCTAGGCATCAATAAATGTCTATTACATGAGTTACCACATTAACTGAAAAAAGGAAACAAGAAAATATTGCATCTTCTATTTGTGGTTGATAATGTTTAAGGGGCAGTCAATGTTGGAATTTTTCAAATTGTACTTATCATTGCATTTGACATGGTAAAACAAATACTGATTCAGAAAATTAAAACCCAAAAATAGTTCCATACTTACTGTGTACCAGGGAATGTCCAAGACACTGAGGATATATGAATTGGTATGACTTCATCCCTACACTCAAAGAATTAGCATTTGAATGGAGAGGTGATAGTAGTAATGTTCACATATGTGTAAAGGTTGGAAGCACAGACCCAATTCTATGCATTTACAGACACTCCCCAGGAATTCATGAAGTTTCCTGGGGAGGAGACACCTGAACTGAATCTCAGAGGGTGAATAAGAGTTAGCTGAATGAAAATTAATATAAAGTCTTAGGGAAAATAGTGTCAGGAAAGACAGCCCTGGACAGGCAGGAAAATGAGACTTGGTGTATACAGGAAACCATACACAGTGTGTGGGGTTTGCTTTAGTATGAAAGCTTAAAATTAAGAATTATTTCTCCACATCTTAGTAGTCTTGTAGATCTATATAGAATGATAAGCAAATGTGTGCATCTCCATGCAGACACACACAGTGCCAGGAGCTTGTTATCTGCCACTTCTCATGCTTGGGTGAAATAAACTATCTTTGTAATCTGCTCAGTATGGTTCTTGGTCTAATATTAGGAGGGGAAGTGACTCAGCTAAAGATGTTTAAAATAAATGAGTGCAATAGTTTCCCTAAAATTTCTCTTTTCTTTAGTAATTTTTTATGTTTTATCTCCTACCTCCACTTGTAACAACAATCAATATTGCAGTAGGCCACTGTCATTCCGCGATTTTCACTCTTGCTTTGGGAAAAGTATTTTGAAAGATAGTTCTTCTGATTTTACAGACTCTAAATCTTGAGTAAATTTGCAAGTCACTACTAGAGTGCCAGGTAAGAATGGCCGTAGTTGGCTGTGTTCCGAGGTTCTGATATCAGGGCTATCATCACTCATGGTCGCTCTAGGCAAGAAGAGTAGTGTAAGGAAGGCACCACGAAAATCCAAGTATGTGGTAACCTGGAACTCACTTCTGCCTTCACACAAATGGCTTTGTTCTCACACAAAAAACCCAATGTTTATGGAGGTAATACACTTTCTCTTGTTCTTTTCCTTTTGTTTTTGATTTTGTGCTTGGCAAGCCCAGATAAGGAAGCTAGCATGTATGATCCAGACAAAATATTATTGAAGGCTTAGTCTTGCATTTAATTCCTTGGTAGCCAGACTATGATTAAGAATGCATACTTTGCAATTTAAATATCGGAAACACTCCCCAAACTGATGGAGTAAATGAATTTTTTTTTCGTGTCCATGTGATATAACAGAGGCTTAAAGAAGTAAAGGGTCATTCTTCACTCTCTGCTTCTGGTTCACCACTGACATGGTTTGGCTCTGTGTCCCCACCCAAATCTCACCTTGAATTGTAATAATCCCCACTTGTCAAGGGCAGGACTAGGTGCAGATAATTGAATCGTGGGGGCAGTTTCTGCCATTTTGTTCTCGTGATAGTGAGTTCTCATGGGATATAATGGTTTTATAAGGGGCTTCTCTCTTTGCTCAGCACTCATTTCTCTCTCCTGCCATGATGTGAAGAAGGACATGTTTGCTTCCCTTTCTGCCATGATTGTAAGTTTCCAGAGCCCTCCCTAGTCCTACAGAACTGTGAGTCAATTAAGCCTGTTTCCTTTATAAATTACCCAATGTATTAGTTCGTTTTCACACTGCTGATCAAGACATACCCAAGGCTGGGTAATTTATAAAGAAAACCAGGTTTACTGGACTCACAGTTGCATGTGGCTGGGGAAACTGGTAGAAGGTGAAAGCCGTGTCTTACATGGTAGCAAGCAAGAGAGAATGAGAACCAAGTGAAAGGGGAAACCCCTTATAAAACCATCAGATTTTTGTGAGACTTATTCACTACCACAAAAAAAATGTATGGAGGAAACCGCCCCCATGATTCAATTATCTCCCACTGGGTCTCTCCCACACGTGGGAATTATGGGAGTACAATTCAAGATGATATTTGGGTGGGGACACAGCCAAACCATATCACCCAGTCTCGGGCAGTTCTTTATAGCAGCATGAGAACAGACTAATACAACAACTGCCAGTTTCCAGGGAGAGATTGCCCAGAGGCAAGCTTGCAAAATGCATACTTATTATTCCTGGATTTCTACATTTTTTCTTACCCAGATACAAAATAGGAGATAAGTTTGAAGGAAGCCTGAAGATTCTCTTCATTTCTTTCCTTGGGTGTTCTTATATCTCTGCTTTGGGTAACACTCTGAGCCCTTTAATGTCACTAAAGCGAAAGGTTAGTTTTAGGCAAGAGCTGCCCCTGGTCAAAATAAAGTAAAATCAAAGATGAAAATAAAACTTAGGTACCATAAAATCTCAAATGGCATAATCCGTAGCCAAAGAATTATCTTGTAACTTAAGATTCCCAGTCCTGTGACTCAATGTTGTAATGAAGGTAAAATGGATGATGTAGTTTTATTCATAGTTTCATGAGGGGTATTTTAATTTACACTTCAAACATTTTTCTATTGTGTATAGACAGAGTTATTGGCAGTTTTATTGGTACTCTTTCGTCCTCATTGTCTGACCTTAATAGCTCCAAAGACCTGACAGATGACAGATGAGACAGGTTTGATCATATCGCACCTAATGTCACTTGATGTTAAGAAACTAAATGAATTCCAGAGATAGGTCACTGAATTTTGCAGTCTGAGATATTAGTTTGTTGAGCAATTAGGCCCTGTGCTCAATCACACCTATGGGGCTTTTTCAAATTTCAGAGATTTCTTTCTCCTCCACTTCCCCATGCTTTTTTTCCTAGGAGGGTTGCTGACCACCTTTGAATCTTTCCAGGGCTGTGATACATTTATGAAAAACATACAAACCCGCGGGGACATTAGAGTGAGAAGAGTGAGCCCCTGAGCTCTATTGTCAAGTTCAGAGTCCTGTTCTAGTCATCTAGTTCTCTGATCACTAAGCCACTATCAGTAATATTTGATTTGTAAAAGTTGGAAGACATGTCAGAAAGTTGTAAAAACGGTTTCATCATTTTTGGACAAAATTTCTAAGCAAGTTAATAAATAAATTATTTCTAAGTATTGCAATACTAACCAAGAGAAAAATGATCACTGGGAGCTAACATGAGTTCACTAAGCATAAGATTGGCCAAATTCAAGTTATTACCTGAGTTACGTAACCAAGCAGGTGCATGAAGTAAATGTTAAGAATATACATGCATGTCACATTTTCAAAATGTATAGAGTAGGGAACATTGGAAAAATTTAAGCTGAATGATGATACCAATCAGAAAGATTTGCATCTCAAGGAAAGCCTTTTTTAATTTCTAAAAACATCATTCTTTTTGTCTAAGTTATTAGTTATCAGTTAGGTATATGGATGGTCAATGGATAAATAAATTGTGAAATATAGGAGAAGATGTCATAGGAGTACAAACAGAAGCATTTTACCCAAAGTAAGAATGGAAATAGTTGACATTTATAAGAGTAGTTTCATCAGCTGATTACTGAATTATCAAAACAACAATACCTACAGAATGGAACATTTTCCAATTATTGCTATGTCATTAAATCTGACCAGAGGACTTAGAAAACAATGATGCCTAGACATAAGAATCCCTTTATTCAGCTTTGGTCGCAAATAACCTCCATGATATTGAATTGCAAGAGCCACGGTTAGTAATGGACACTGCCGACTTCTGGATCACAACATTGTTTTTATTCTGTTTCTAGACACTTGCGATGTAGTCCTATATTTTAAATAAACAAGCACATTTTTTAAAAATGATTTTTTAATTCACACATAAAATTTGTATATATTAATAGTGTACATGTTTCAAAATATGTATATATTGTGGAATGGTGAAATCTAACACAAACTTTACCTCACATATTTGTTTTTGTGTGTGTGGTCAGAACAATCAAGAGCTACACTCCTAGCAAATTTCAATACAATCCACTGTTATTAACTATAATCGCCATGTTATTCATTGGATCCCTTGGACTTATTCCTCCTAACTGAATTTTTTTATCCTTTGACCAATACCGCCCTCCACCCCATGACCCCAGACCTGGAAACAACTATTCTACTTTCTGCTTCTATGGGTGCAACTTTTTTAGATTCCTTTAAGTCAGATACATTGAAAGAAAGAGTAAATTACCAGGGGCAGCAATGGGAAGGAAAAAGGAAGTACATCAAAGAGTACATGAGGGCTATAGTTATTAATATTGTATTGTATTTTGAAAATTTGCAGAAAGAATAGATGTTAAGTGCTCTTACTACACACAGACACACACACACACACACACACACAAAGGTAAATATAAAAGGTGATGAATAGGTTAATTTGCTTGACTGTAGTAATTATTTTTTCTTCATATGTATATCAGAACATCATGTTGTACAGCTTAAATATATATAGTAAAAAGAAGTGCATTTTTGTCTGATATATGGGATCAAGAATGCATTTATTAAGTACATTATAAGGATGAAAATACTTAAAACTAATCTTGAAAGCTATTCTTAGCTGAAATGTATTAATCTTTCCATAGTTTTCATGAGGATATGTTCATTATAGCTTTTCACTATGTCAAGCTTATTTTATATAATTCTGACTGTGGTGTTTCTTCTCCAGTGGCATATTTATTTATTCTCTTGTTAAAACAATTAAGTATTAAAATTGGTTCTTTGTTACAATTTTATTTCCTCATTTTGTCATTATGTTTAAACTAAACTTTAGTTCATAATAAAAGTTTTCTTTTTTTCCTTTCTCTTGGGGCCTGAATTATTTTCTTTATTTCTTCTTCATTTGCAACTTTTGCTTTCCCATTCCCTGGAAATACAAAACAAAATTTTTAAAGTTATTTGTGTAAAAATGTATTTTTGTCTTACGTGTGTGGGCCAAATTGCATGGTTTTCTTGTCCAAATCATTCGGTTATCTGTTCTACTGAATATAAGTTTCTACATGGCAACCTTCAGTAGAATAATTTTTTTTCAGTACATACTCATTGGTTTATCCAAAAGCACTTTGTATGCTCTTTATTATTTCCTATGCTTATGATTTATTAAATAAATCAGATAGTAATCACATTTAGAGAAAGAATACTTTAAAAAATTACTTTACACAGTTCTTTGCACATTATTTTGTACAAAGAAGGGTATTAATTTAACTCTATAATAATCATATTATTATGTAAGTAACATTTTATATCCAAGTATCTCTTAAAAGCCAAGAATTTATATGGAATTTAATAAATTCTATTAATGATAGTAATAAAATTGGTTGTGATAGAGAACTGTAACAAACCAAAAATAAAAATTGAGAAAAAGGTACTAAAATAAATTCTTCCTCAAGAATCAGCATATGTAATGCAGAGAAATGAAAAATTGGTTTCCCATTATATAAGATGATTGTTAGATTTTTATTTATGTTTCTCCTTTTAAAAACACTTTTTCTCCCTTAAATTATTATTCAAATTTGATTTTTATCTTGAAAATAGGTGTGTGGAGGAGGAGAGGTGTTAATCCAACTAAGGAAATTTCTTTATATAATTATATATTCTGGTGGAAAAGTTTATCTAAAGTTTATCCTTTATTTAAATCCCAGCTTAAGTAAAAGGGTCATTTCTGTAGCTCCTGAGAATATATTTAATACACATTTTGTAAAGCCAAAAAAATCTTGCTTAAATTTTTTCTCCATCTTATATTTTCTTCTCTTTTCTGTCTAGATTAATGTTTACCAAGATAAATCTTGTATTTCCTGTAGAAGGACAGATAACCTGTAACTTATCTGGACATGAAGGTCTATGATAAGACAATTGGATATGGTACCTTCTGCATCCCTCCTGCCCCTTCCAGGACCTGTTCACATTGACATCTTGGGACATATTCACTACTCAGTTGACTCCAGAAATAACACACATTGCCTGTGCATGAGGTGCATGACTTTGCTTTTTCCAAGAGTCCTGCATTTCCATGGAAACCAGAGAGGCAGAAAACAAAGGATAAGTACAAAACATCTCTGAGCTTTTAGAAACAAAGCTGAATCCAGACCAACTGCCTCATCTGAATTCAGCCTGTGAAAACCATAAACCACTCTGACCTCTTACTGCTGAAGGAAGACATGCTCCCTGCTGGCATCCTTCCATGAGAAACACATCTCTTTCTCACATTGGACATATTTTAAAGGCAAGAAAGGCAGGATTTGAGATTTAAAAGTCTAGATTTTTTTCTCTTCTGCCACTCTTTGGTGACGTGAAGTTACCATTTCCATTCTATAAAATGCAAAATTACAAAAGGTTTTAGAATTGCTTCTCATTTGAAAGGAATGTTGAAGGTTATTTAAATACTAAAGTTTAATCAACAGTGGTTTGAAATCCTTAGGAAATACTATGCTAAACAAAATATCCTTGCTCATGGTAGCTTAATCAAACAGCAGATATTTGTCAAATGTAAGGCTTGTTATAGGCAGGTTGGAATATCTTCTATTAGGAAGCTCTATTCTATTCTATCTTCTATAACTGTAGTTCCAGGGGAAAAAATTCTGTGCATGTCTCAGTAATCAGAACTTCAAAGAGGAGTATGCAATTTTAATTTAACTGATGTGAAAAACACTATTAAAACTATGTACATAATCTGTTGTGAAATTTAAGTTGGTTCTATTTGTTAAAAGAGAAAGCCACACAACCAGTTCTTATTAAGATAAAATATAAAAATCTAGGTTTGTGCTAAGTAGCTATAACTGTGCTCCTCTTCCCATCTGAACCCTGAGTCCCACTCTCTAACATTTTAGTCGCTTCCCCTTGTTGTTAAGAGGAATGTTGCTTGGATAATCTGTGTACTCTGGCATCCAAAAAAAGTGAATACAGATGTAGACTGAGTTTAGGTTTAATTTCTTTAGCCATATCTGATGATAGAGTTGAAAGATTCGCTGATACTCTATCAAGTGTATAAAACTGTGTGTGTGCAAGAATGAACTATTCTTTTGGGGGGTGGAATAAGAAATGGGTGTACCAGAGATAGTTTGCCACCACAGAATTTGGATATTAAAGCTATTGAGTAACTATTGCTAATATATGGCATAAAGAAACTCAACCAAAGAAAAGAGAAAGTCAAATAATACATGTACCCCAAAGAATAATAGGTAAGTTAAGTAGATCATGGTATGTTCTACTCAATTGGAACTTCCCCTAGTTCTCCTCAACTCATAGATGATTCTAACATATTATATGTTGTAATAAAGAATGACAAATATAAGAAATGGCATCAAATAATAAAGCTTAAGAAATGAAAGATGAGTCCTGAGAAGAGGTGCCATAAGTTGTAGTGGAAAGTATTTTCTCTAAACCATTATGATGACTATTGTAGTACGTTAAAGAGCAGAACCAAAGACAAGCCTCATACAGGACATTTCAGAAATCATCACTGTGATTAAAAAAATGCATGTTATTGTTAAATTGTATTTTACTTTTATGGTAAGTTCCAGGGTACATGTGCAGGATGTGCAGGTTTATTACATAGGTAAATGTGTGCCATGGTGGTTTGCTGTACCTGTCAAACCATCACCTAGGTATTAAGCCCAACATGCATTAGCTATTTTTTCTAATGCTCTCCCTCCACACCCCCTCCACAGACCCCAGTGTGTGTTGTTCCCCTTTCTGTGTCCATGTGTTTACATTGTTCAGCTCCCACTTATAGGTGAGAACACGCAGTGTTTGGTTTTCTGTTCCTGTGTTAGTTTGCTGAGGATAATAGCTTCTAGGTCCATTCATGTCCCTGCAAAGGACATGATCTCATTATTTTTTTTATGGCTGCATAATACTTCATGGTGTATATATACCACATTTTCTTTATCCAATGTATCATTGATGGGTATTTGGGTTGATTCCATGTCTTTGCTATTGTAAATAGTGCTGCAGTGAACACAGATGTGTGTGTATCTTTATAATAGAATGATTTATATTCCCTTGGGTATATACTCAGTAATAAGATTGCTGGGTCAAATGGTATTCCAGTTCTAAATCTTTAAGGAATCTCCACAATGTCTTCCACAGTCATTTTTACACTAACAATGTAAAAGAATTCCTCTTTCTCTGCAACCTCACCAGCATCTGTTGTTTCTTGACTTTTTAATAATTGCTATTCTGACAGGTGCAAGATGGTATCTCACCGTGATTTTGATTTGCATTCCTCTAATGATCAGTGATGTTGAGCTTTTTTTCATATGTTTTTTGGCTGCATTAATGTCTTCTCTTTAGAAGTGTTTGTTGGTGTTCTTTGCCCACTTTTTAATGGGGTGGTTTTTTCCTTATAAATTTGTTTAAGTTCCTGTGTATTCTGGATATTAGACTTTGTCAGATGAATAGATGGCAAAATTTTTCTCTCACTCTGTAGGTTGTCTGTTAACTCTGATGATAGTTTCTTTTGCTGTGCAGAAGCTCTTTAGTTTAATTAGATCCCATTTGTCAAGTTTTGCTTTTATTGCAATTGCTTTTGATGATTTCGTCATGAAATCTTTGCCTTTGCCTATTTCCTGAATGGTATTACCTAGATTTTCTTCTAGGGTTTTTACAGTTTTGGCTTTTACATTTAAGTCTTTAATCCATCTCGAGTTAATTTTTGTATAAGGTGTAGTAAGGAAAAGGTCCAGTTTCAGTATTCCCCATATAGCTAGCCAGTTCTCCCAGCACCATTTATTAAACAGGGAATCCTTTCCCCATTGCTTGTTTTTGTCATGTTTGTCAAAGATCAGATAGTTTTAGATGTGCAGTCTTATTTCTGAGTTCTCTATTCTGTTCCATTGTTCCACGTGTCTGTTTTTGTACCAGTACCAAGCTGTTTTGGTTACTGTAGCTTTGTAGTATGGTTTGTAGCATAATTCCTCCAGCTTTATTCTTTTTGCTTATGATTGTCTTGGCTATAGGAGCTCTTTTTCAGTTCCATATGAATTTTGAAATAATTTTTTTCTAATTCTGTGAAGAATGTCAACGGTAGCTTAATAGGAATAGCATTGAATCTATAAATTACTTTGGGCAGTATGGCTATTTTCAATATATTGATTTTTCCTACCCATGAGCTTGGAATGTTTTTTCATTTGTTTGTGTCATGTCTGATTTCCTTAGCCAGTTGTTTATAGTTCTTCTTGAAGAGGTCCTTCATTTCCCTTGTTAGCTGTATTCCTAGGTATTTCCCTGTCTTCATAGCAATTGTGAATGGGAGTTTGTTCATGATTTGGCTCTCTGCTTGTCTGCTGTCGGTGTGTAGGAGTGCTTGTGGTTTTCGCACACTGATTTTTGTATCCTGAGACTTTGCTGAAGTTGCTTATCAGCTTAAGAAGCTTTTGGGCTGAGATGATGAGGTTTTGTAGATATATATAGGATCATGTAATCTCAAACAAAGACAATTTGACTTCCTCTCTTTCCATTTGGATGTCCTTTATTTCTTTCTTTTGCCTGATTGCTCTGGCCAGAACCTCCAATACTATGTTGAATTGGAGTGGTGAGAGAGGGCATCCTTGTCTTGTGCCATTTCATGGGCACAAGCTTTTGCCCATTCAGTCTGATATTGGCTGTAGGTTTGTCATAAATGGCTCTTATTATTTTGAGGTGTGTTCCTTCAGTACCTACTTTATCGAGAGTTTTTCACATAAAGGGATGTTGAATTTTATTGAAGGCGGGTACTATTTCTTCTGGAACTATTCCAAACAATTGAAAAGGAGGGACTCCTCCCTAATTCATTTTAGAGGTCAGCATCATTCTGATACCAAAACCTGGCAGAGATACAACAAAAAAGAAAACTTCAGGCTAATATTCCTGATGAACAACAATGCAAAAATCCTCAATCCCTTCTAGAAACACTCACAGACACAACCAGAAATAATGTCTTACCAGCTATCTGAGCTTCCCTTAGCCCAGCCAAGTTGATACATAAAATTAACCATCATAAATGAGTATTCCAGTATTCCTAATTTTGTTAACAAGGTTAGCAGAAAGTTAACTTCCTGCAAAAAATACATCACTCCTTTTTGGAATCCCATCACCACATCATTTCTATTTGATAATGTGACAATCCATTTTTCTCAATTTTAGTGCATTGAGAGGTACACATTTATTAATTAACTTATCCATTTATTTAGTCTCTCAGTCATTCATGCATGTTTTAGAAATTAGATTTACAATTACATATGTTTTAATGAGGTGTTTTTTATCTTCTTGGCATAAATGGAGACAGGCAAGATTCTCATAAAACACAGCTAGGACCACTGAATTAAGATATTTCTTGAACAAGTGGAGTGATCAGATACTTTCGCATTTATAACATTTAAGTTAAAAGTTTAAAATCAGAGGAATGTGTTTTGTTAAAATAGGTTTAAAAAATATAAAATAAAGTTAGTGAGAAGCAAGCATGCAATGACATGCCTTGAAAGAATGTTATTTTATCTTTGCTGACTTAGAAGAGATATTTTGTAATCTTCTCTTTCTAACTTCCATTGGATTTTCTTTTGATTTCAGTGTATGTGTAATGATTCCTCACAGCAGTAGTCATCAGTTTTCATATATCATCATTACCATCATCATCAACATCATCACAAACATTTATTTTGCATCCAGTCTGTTCCTGAAAACACACAGGGAACTTGAGAAGGGAATTTAGGCCAAGAAGAAGAGTAATGCTCACAAATCAACTTTATTGGAGACATTGCTTAGAAACTTGTTTGCTGACGAAAAGAAAAGAACACATTTAATTTTAACTAACATATAATGAAATAGTCAAGGATTTGATCCTCTTGGCAGTAACAAAACTGAAAATTAATTTTAACAAATGGTGTCAGAATTTTTAAAACTATGCTCCAATTCTATCAACACAAATCCAACTGTAGCAGCTTCTCAGATCATTAGAGCATCTATATTTATGTCTTTTGAGTGGTTAAGAACTGTATGTCAAGGTCAATTCTCTTTCTACTTACCTTCAAACAAAATTTTAAAAATCCTTCTGTGTCGTTAAGACTTTGATACTATTGATACAAAGTTTTTCTTACAACCATCTGTTCTTTATTAACAAGAGTGTTAAAAGCATCATAACTAGAATTTGGCTGGATATTTACATAATTGTTTTCATAGTTTAAAGTTATATACAAAAACTAAAATGTACCAACAGAATGATCTAAAATGGCTTTCAATATTTGAAATCATATTATATACAGAAAAATATCAAATAAACATAAAAGAAAATGTTTAAATAACTTGACAAATCTATTTTCCAAGGAAAGACTGTAGATGACTGCCTCAAGGTCATGATATACTATTTTAAGTGGTGAATTCTAATGACCCTGTTTTTGACACATGCCAAGTGTTGTAATAAGTGAAGTCAGCCTTTAAATAACACACTTTTCCCCCTAAATGGGAGCTGTGTATTACAAAGGTCATTAGGGTTGATGCTCAACGTCCAAGTTTTATGACCTTGTTCTGCCTTTGTAATATGAGACCAGCGACTTCAGCGTATTGTCATCTTGGCTTCATTGCCTGCTAAACTAAAATATATTTGCCTCCTGAGAGAATATACATCTATATTATAATATATTAATAATAATGTGGTAATAATATACGATGTAATATTTATATATTTAGAGAATTATTTAATTAATATTTTTAAAGGTTTTAATATTTTAATATATATTTAATGAATTATTTAATATATATTTATATATTTAACGAATTTTTTAAAGGTTTTAATTAATATCTATTTATATATTTAGAGAATTGTTTAATGAATATTTTTTAAAGATTTTAATCTATGTATTTTGATAGCAATAAAAATATTTAATGTTTTTCTACTGATCATTGACCATGCCATATATTTTATCTGGCATTAATTTAAATAAAACGTATCCTTTCTTAACAGTTTTTAACTTCTTTTTAAATGTCTCCAAATAGTTTTTTAAATTTCTTTATAAACTTTTATTTAAACTTTGCTGCTCTCCGTTTTTCCCAACAGAATTTTTCTAACCCTGCTTGCTCTCATAAATGTGATTTATATGTCTTATTCATTTTCTAAACTTTTTGGCGTGTTCTATATATCCATTGCTCATTTTCAGCACCTTCTGGCATATAAAACCCTTTTTTAAAAAAAATACTTAAAGCTATATTCCTTTAGACTAAACTTGTAGAATTGGAAGAAATCATGAGTACAAAAGAGTGGCACCATGCTTTGGCAATAATTTATATAACATGATATGTCAACATAGTCTCCTTGTTAAACTAGTTGTACTGTTACATTTAACTAAGAAATACTTGATTGTCTAATTTCAAAGCTAATATTTTAATTCTATATGGAAACTCAGGAAGATTCATTTTTGTTCTCTTATGCAAACAGAAATACTTTCTCCTTTTATATTTATTACTGAAGGAAGAATTTGGTTGTTCAGTAGATGTCACTATAAGGCTGTTGTACTATCATTTTATTTTTTTTATTTCTGCTAACAAAGCTAAAATATATTTTAATCTCTTTAATGTTAAAAATGTGAAACATTTTAATGCTCAACTTTAATTAAAGATATAGAATATATCTTTAATATATATATTAAAGATATAGAAAATATTGTTAATAGTTATGTGTGTATATATATATTTAATATATATATCTATACATCCATGTTTTATTTTAAATTATGTCAAGCATCACTATATATTTTGGGTTATATTTTAACAAATATTAGGAAGCATCTTAACACTGCTTTCAGTGCTGTATTAATCTGGGTAGGCTAACTGCTCTAATATCTTGATCACACAACACAATATATATTAAACTTTCCAACTTGCTTGCACCAAGCTCAACGCAGATATTTCTTGTCTGCTCTCTCTTCCAGTAGTTACGTCCTAGAATTCAAGGCTCCTTTTATCCTAACACAGCCACTCTAAACACCTGGCTCTCAAAGTCTCCAGTAGTAAGGAAGAAGGAATGGAGGAAAAGTGGGCCAGGTTTTGAACCACCTTGACCATCTTACTCTCTATGCTCCCTGGAAATTCCACGTCCAGAATATTGAATGTCTCCAAGTGAGGCAAGAAGGCTAGGAAACGTGGTAAAAATTATATTTTTACTCTTTATGATTTATATTAAGTTATGAAACCCTATAAATAAAAACAATACTCAGTCTTCCTTCCATAAGTAAAGAAATATCCATTGAGCTATTAAAATTGTGTGCAAAATCAGAGATTTTAATTTTTAAAAATATTTTTGAAAGACACTTCTGGAGGCAGAAATCACAATTTTAATAAACTTTTTCTATAGCTTTTATTATCATCTATAAAATTTTGAGATTTAACTGACAATAGCTAAAAGGAATAATAGAAAATAATCAGAATTATCAACATATAATGTTCCTCCAAATTTAATGTCACTACATTACTATAAATGGTTCCTATCTGTACATTTCTTCTCTAAAACACATGCTGAATTTGCAGTGAAGTAAATTCCTCTGGTGAACTGAAAAATAAGTTTTTGGTTGGGAATAGAATAATATGGTAGCAATTATGCAGTCTATTATAATAATTATGCTAATCTCGCTGAGTGCACAATTTTGCCAGCAATTACTCCTAATGCAATACTTTCATAAGTCATTCAACTTTCTCTTGATCATAGAGAGGACAATTTTACTTCGCTTTTACCTATCATGGAATCTTATACTCCTTTATCTTTGTATTAGATTATTAGAATATATACCAGAATTTGGCTGTAATATTATATTTTATCAAAAAGTGGTTAAATTTTGAATATTTGTTAAAATGAACCCAAAATATATAGTGATGCTTGACATAATTTAAAATAAAATATTAAGTTGATAGTTATGCTACTTTAAAAATTGTGTAATTTTGAAATTCTATTGTATGTCACTTCATGGAAATTATTTTTGCTCCAAATATATTTTGAAATATGCAGTCTTACACATGCATTATCTACTTGAAATGAATTTCACCCTGCATGTATTTATTTGTGTGCATGTGTATAAATAACTAATCAAAGTTAGTTTCCCAGATAATGAAGCAACAGCATCCATTATTGTTTTGTTTTTATCTCCCATTGTCTAAGTGTCAAAGAAAGGTCAAAGAAAGTCAGGGATCGAGTTAGGACATAATGCATTCTAGTACTGTAAGAGAAGTTGGTAAAAAGCTCTTATGTTTTTCCCCTAGTTCAGAAACATTAAACAATTTATAAATGATTATCTTTCTGACAAGAAGTGAAATGAAGTGTTTCTCTAGCTTTTAGCTGATTTTCACTTACGTGTATATTATTATATTGCTGATGTTGAAGAGAAAATATTTTCTGTATCTTCTCTAACCTGGATACTCTCCAAAAATGGCAGGCAAACATTTTACAAGTTTATTTCAGGAGGCAAAATACAAATGAAAGAGAAAATAAATGGGCATGCATAAGAATTTCTCTCTTGTGGGAGACTCCTCTGTCTCCCTGAAACTGCTCTGTCCCGGTCCTGGCAATGGGGCAGTGGTCACCAAGCTTCACTTAGGTCTTCTTGCTGTGCAGCTGTTAACACAGTGCTAACTTGTGCTTTAACTTCAAAAGAGACAGACCTTCCCTCTGAGCATGAGAAATAGATACTTCCTCATCTGGAGCAGAATAGCCAGAGTGCAGGAAATCAACTCTTTCTACTTCATTCACAAAATTTGAGTACAAGCACTGTATAAGGGATAGTTTGGGAGCATCCCTTTTCATAGTGTCCGTACCGATACAGATTTGTGTAGATATATAGTACAGATACATATCTGAGGGTAAAAGGAATTGTTTAAAAATCGACACACATCTTTATACATTTTCAGATTCATTACCACATAATGTTAAAATAGGCAACATAATTATGCCTACTTAACTGATAAGAAAACTAAATATCAGATACCTAAGATTATAGAATTTATAAATGGCAAAAGTGGGCTTTGGGGGGACTCATGTAAACGACTTCTCCTATACACACTGTATTGTACACTGATCTATCCTACGACCCTATGATATATACTGATTATATCCTATGATCTTTATAAACACTGTATTTACTTTCTGGCTAAATGGGACATTTCATTAATGCCACTTTCTAAGTCCTGAGCAGATTTGAAATCCCTGGGGAGGGTCCACATGTACTTAGGAGAAATGTTATGTTTCTGGAGTCATGCCCATTAGTGATTGCAGTCACTTATGGAAGCATAATGGTAGTACTTGATGGTGGCACTGATTCTTTTTTTCTCTAAAACAAACATCCAAAGAAACCTTTTAAAAGTTGTAGGATTCCTGTCACTTCTGAAATTACCAGGGGCTATATACATCCATAAAGTACCACAATATTACAACAGTGATGCTGCAGAAATTGTTTCAGATTTTTATTTTATTTTTATTTTTATTTTTATTTTTTGAGACAGGGTCTTGCTCTGTCACACAGGCTGGAGTGCAGAGTGTCGTGGCATGATCACAGCTCTACCTTCCTCGAAGTGACCCTCCCACCTCAGCCTCCTGAGTAGCTGGGACCACAGGGATGCACCACCACATCCAACTCATTTTTGTATTTTTTGTAGAGTCAGAGTTTCACCATGTTGTCCAGGCTTCATGTTCTTGAAGCTAACAAAAACATTTGAATTTGTACATCTAAATCACTTTTATATTTGAAATAACCACTTCCAAAGTTTGAGTTTTAATTTTTTAAGAATCAGTGTAATAAATTCAACTTGCTCATTAAATATATTCCTGTATGTATATTTATTAAATTGAATAAATACATATTTTCAGTAATTTTACTAGTATTTTAGAGACCAAGAGAGAATATCCACCATAATCAGTGATTCTTTTGTTTTCCGAGGTGTGTTTTCTTTCATTTTACTTTGTATATTCTTATGTTTCCAGTTGTGTTTCAATAAAGCAGAAATTTATATTATGTGCACTCTCCAACAGAAATTAATGTATAGCTGGGTGTAGTGGCTCACGCCTGTAATCCCAACACTTTAGGAGGCTGAGGCAGGTGGATCATGAGGTCAAGAGATCGAGATCATCCTGGCCAACATGGTGAAACCTCGTCTCTACTAAAAATACAAAAATTATCTGGGCGTGGTGGTGTGCGCCTGTAGTCCCAGCTACTCAGGAAGCTGAGGCAGGAGAATCGCTTGAACCTGGGAGGCAGAGGTTGCAGTGAGCCAAGATTGTGCCACTGCACTCCAGCCTGGCAACAGAGCGAGACTCCATCTCAAAAAAAAAAAAAAGAAAGAAAGAAAGAAAGAAATTAATGTATAATAATTAGTTGTGGGCAGCATCTGTTTAGAGTTCTCAGGTTCTTGGCAGAAGACAGAGGCTTGGGAAATGACACCTGTGGTCATCGCATGTCCATAATCTTTTAAGTACAAAGGTGTTCATCCACTTTGAACCATAGGGCAGAAAACAGAAAGAGGAAGTTTATGTAGCATTTTCTTGCTTCTTGTTCTCAAGGAGTATGAGTTTATATACCACGTATTTATTTTCTTGTCCAGATAAATTGTAGCACCAGAGAATTTATTGTGTCAGTAGTGTTAAAAGGATATAGGGTCAAGTTACCTGATTTTGGTGTGTATCTCTGGAAGTGCACTCAGGCCACCACAGATGTCAGAGGTGGAGAGTCATTAGCGCAAGCTCTGCAAGGAGGCAGGGACTCCAGCAGAAGACACGAGCCTGCGAACAAAGGCTTTTTAGCAAGCTGAATCTGTTGTCTCCAGGTGTGTTCAGATTAACTGAAGCCCCATAAAGAGTGCATCCTCTTTTATTTCTGTTTTTATAGTATTCAAAGACATTAGCTACTGAAGTAACATCCTGGCTGCGTTATAAATTACTGAAAAAATATGTTCTTTACAGTATTAGAACTTACATAATTAGCATCTGCTTGCAAGAAAAGTCTATCAATTTAGTCAACAATGGCTATTTAACTTCTTTTTAAAATTTTTATAGTTAGCCCAGCACTTTGGAAGCCTGAGGTGGGCGGATCACGAGGTCAGGAGACGGACACCATCCTGGCTAACACGGTGAAACCCCGTCTCTACTAAAAATACAAAAAATTAGCCGGGCGTGGTAGCGGGCGCCTGTAGTCCCAGCTACTCGGGAGGCTGAGGCAGGAGAATGGCGTGAACCAGGGAGGCGGAGCTTGCAGTGAACCGAGATCACGCCACTGCCCTCCAGCCTGGGCGACAGAGCGAGACTCAGTCTCAGAAAAAAAAAAAAAAAAATATATATATATATATATACTATGTCATTCTTATTAACATTTAAGAAACTGGTTTGTCTATTTATCTAATAGGGTTACAAAATATTTCATAAGAACTGGGAAAATGTCATACGTCCAAATACATTATATTACATATATGTACAATTTTATTAAAGTTTATATCTACATAGATATAAACATAGAAAATGCTATCAAATTTTATCCATAGCCATAATATATATTAGAATTAATTGTCATACAATGAATTATTAAAGATGCAGAAATACTTATGCTTATTATAAAATTAATTCAAGCTAAAGCTAAATTATAATTTCACAGGCAATTATTTCAAGATTTGAATCATTTGTAAAATTGGTATATATTTCAGGGACTAATTTAGTTCTTATGAAATAGTATGTTGTAATAAATATTTGTTGGAGAAGTGGATAGGAAGACTTGGGCATTACACTTTGCATGTTAAGCCTAAAATATTTTCATATATTCCTCATAAAATTTAATTACAGTCACTTCATTCTTTTCTACAGAAAAAGTATTTGCTATTCATCAAACTGCTTGAGTGTCTACCACTGGCTTTACTAGTGTTTACACCTTATACTGAATTAGTATACGTTGTGTATTGAGACTGTGATAAAGAATATTAAATTTCCTCTTTTTATTGAATTTTTTAATTGATTTTTTTTTTTTGTTAGAGATAGAGGCTCACTATGTTGCCCAGGCTGGAGTAGAGTAGTGCTATGAGAGCTCATTGCAGTCTCGAATTCCTGGGCTCAAGCAATCCTTCAACCTCAGCCTCCTGAATAGCTGGGACTGCAGTCATGCACCACCACCATGCCAGTCTAATTTTTTTGTTTTTGAGACAGGGTCTTGCTATCTTGCCCAGCCTGGTCTAGCCTCTTTATTGAATTCTTGGATTTAAAGTGCTCATGTTTAACTGGGAAAGTATCTCTTAACTTCCAAATGTAATGTTTCTATGTAGATGCTTAGGAATTGCCGGAAGGATGAGATATTCATTGTTGCTGGTAAGATCTTGTACTAAAGTGATGCTTATAAACCTCAAAGACAGAGTGTCCACTGATTGCAAATTGGGTCCATGTGCCTGCTGGCATGGCACAACACAGAAAATGCTATCAGATTTGGAAAGGGTCACATTGGAAAAGTTATGGTTGACTCTGGCAGCAGGAGAAAATGCTTTGAAGCTTTTCTAAAGCCGTGTGTGTTAAGCATTTACGGGCAGATTGTTTTTATAGACTGGGATTCTTATCTGTGGTGCAATTTAAATAGGAATAAGTATGCTTATCTGCAGAGTTCCTCTGAAAAAATTTAAAAGTTAGCAGCCTGTGACTCAAAGAGCTGACATAGAACGAAGAGGTGTGTAAGAAATTACATCGCCGTGTTGAGTTCAACAAGAGAAACATACTTTGACTTCTTCCTGTACTAGCATAATTATTTCCAAACTATTTTTTTCTGACACAGCCATTTATCTACCTGAGCACCAGATTGCTCAAATAATTATAATTCATAATGTGGCCCCAGGGTCTTTTAATATTTTAATTGACTACCCTAGAAATGATATGTACATCAAAGGGTAGCCTTACAGGGGATAATAATGCATCAGAACATAGAGAGCATAGAGATTGCATTTTAAAAGATTGCTTTTTTCCTCCTCAGTGCTTTCTCATTTTGACATCTGAAATTGCTTTTCTCAAATCTGTCTACAAGTTTAGATACAACATAGTTAAGTGACTTTCTCAGCATTTGAAGGAATCATGAAGTTTAGCTTGCCATGAGTTGTAACTTTAAAGAAGAGAAATAAAACCAAGAGTTCCACATTCCAGTTTTGCTCGAGAAATTTTAATGATGTTTAATCTCAAAAGGTCCCATTTAAGTGGAAATAGAGTAAAATGGATTCTCTCTTTGCTTTTATTCTGTGAACATATGAAATCATAAAGAAAATTGGAAGTTTGGAGAGTAGCAGGAATAGGGCTTCACACTGCTTTCTTTAGCTTCTAATATATTTTTTTCCAGGAAAAGCACTTGGCACAGCTGAATAATCACCTTACTCCTACTTGTCATGACCTTTCTGAGGAGTAAAGTGTGATGCTCTTCTAGAAATGCACATTCCCTAACAATAGTTAATTCTGAAATTAATTTTGTTCTCAGAATGACTGACTTTAACAGAATCACAAGATTTAAAAATCTTAACCTGTCAGCCACAGTGTTCATAAAATTATTGAAAGAAATCCAGGTGTCTGAACTGAGTTCAACAAATACAAAAGGATCATATGATTGTCATCCTACACTTTTCCTTTGCAATATCCTTACACAAGAAGACAGGCAAAGACTTGTGAACTCTAAGGAAGTGGCTATTTTATTTGCATTTGATAGGACTTATTCTTCCTTGAAAGTAGTACTTGAATTTCACCAGGTATCCTTAATTCTTATTTATTAATTTTGATGAAGACAGAATTTTTAGAAGAACTAAAACTTAAGATCTATGTAACAGAAACTCTCTCCCCAAACACACATACTCATTCCTCTGAATTCATTAAACTTGGTATCCTCTGTTATACAAATTACAAGCAGAATCAGGACTTGAGATGAACCCTGGCAAAAAAGACATAATTTTATAGTCTGGATAGAGCCTTTATTGTTTAGTACAAGTTTTGGTCCTTAAAATTTAACTTACTATAGTTATGATTTCATAAAATTCTACTTTTCTCTAGCCCATGGTTACTCATTTTATTTATATGTTTTCTTATTAATATTTAGGTTAGAAATTTAAAATTAGAATAGTAATATTAGAAACAAACATCTACATTTTGGTTCTCATTGAGGGTGAAGAATCAGGTTTTGTTTTTGTTTTTTTTATTCTGCTCCCCAGCATCTTGTTATGTAAACATTTGAAATAATCTAGTTGGAAATAATATTATATTTTTTTAAATAACACATGTAACTCCATTTTCAAGTCACTGATTCTTCACTTCAAAGCATCAGCTTTGAGGCTTACAAAGGATTATAGCCTTTGAGTTGTCTTTGAAGAAACGGCAGTTGAATATACACTATAACAACGCTTCATCAATATCAACACCAAAGCTTGAAAGTTGAGAAGTTAGAATGTAAAATACTTAATAGCTTGGAATTATGAAGTTGCAGTTTTAACTACTAACTGTGGGCAACTGAGAAGCCATAATCTGTCCTGCTCATTTTTCTCTCTCCTGGGCTTATTCAAATGTCTATTATGTAGTAGATTTTCAATCAAATGTTACTTGAATGAATGTTGCATAAGAGAGACCAGGTGTTCCTTAACAAACCATCACCACATGAGACTTTATATTTTTGACTTGTGTAAAATTGAAGGGGTACAAGTGCAGTTTTGTTACATGGATATAATATGTCATACGGTTAAGTCCAGGCCTTTAGTGAAACCATCACCTGAATAATGAGTGTTGTATCCATTATGTAATTTCTCATCTCTCATTTCCATCCCACACTCCTACCCTTCTTAGTCTCCAATGTCTATCATTCAATATTTTATGTCCAATCACATGAGATTTTAATTGGTACATTACTGGCATGACATACAGAATTGGGCCAATTTGCTGCCAAACATGATGACATTCTCAATTTGATAGTGGGCAATGTCACTGGTATCATTTTATACCAAATATTCATCACAGCTATTTTTCACTGTTTTTAATTAGGGCACAGTTTTTAAAAAACACAAACATAATATAAAATTATTTTAGAATATAGAATACTGACTTTTCTTAAGTTTATTATACCACAGAGAAATTAATCAGAAATCATTTTCAATAAATAGAATGTTACATATTTATTAACTTTTACAATATTTTAATACTGAAATTTAATTCAGAAATGTCTGAAATCAAGTTGCAACTCAGAAACAGTTAAAAATTTGAAAACTTGCAATGTTTCAGCTTGAAACTTTACCATCCCAGAATTTTTTTTTTTTCTGAAATGCTAGTAAAGTATAGTGACTTCTTGATTTTTACATATGACCAGATTCAAAGCTTGTTGTTTTAATTTCTTGGGGATGGATTTTTAGTCAAGAAATGTGTGTTGGTATCCAAGTAATGCACATTGACATAGTTATCGAGTCCATGTGCAAAACGTAGTACAAAGGTAGCATATTCAAACGCCCCCCAATGCCAGGAAAAAAAATAAATAAATGAGTCAATTCAAGCCAATTTTGAACTAGCGGGCACAGACTTTGCCTAGAGAGAAGACAGTTATTTTTTCCTCCAGATGGAGCTGATTACTGCTATTAGGAATGAGGATCCAGCGTCACAAGAATTGCCTAAAATAATTAAAGCTAGAAATCTATGTAAAGTTTCTCAACTTTAAAAAAAAATGAAAATAACCTTTTAATTTGTAAATTGGCTTAGGACCTAACCAAAACTATTTTAGTTGATTTTGTGTTGCTATAACAGAATACCAGAGACTGGATGGCTTACAAGAATAGAAATTTATTTTTTTATTGTTCTGGAGGCTGGGAATTCCAAGGTCGGGGTACTGTATCTGGGTCTTCTTGCTACATCATCCCATGGCAGAAGGCAAGAGAGTGAGAGAGTAGATGAGAGAGAAGGAGAGGAAGGGAACTGAAGTTAATCTTTTCTTAGGAAGTCACTCTTGTAATAATGAACCTACATGAGGGTAGAACCCTCATGACCTAATCACTTCTTAAAGGTCTCACCCATTAATCATGTTGTGTTGTGGATTAAGTTTTCAACAAATAAACTCTGGGGGACACATTCAAGTCACAGCAAAAATCAAATAAACAAACAAAAAAGGACTGTAGACTGGGTGTATCACTAATGCATGCAATTTTTAACCACTGCTACAGAGTTAAGTACAGTTTGAGCAGAAAGAGAAGCTCCTTATAGCTTTATTATTTGAGTACATTGATCCATATAATGTGGAGGTTTTAGAAAGAAATAAAATATATGTAAAATAAATATATTTGAGTGTTTAACTTCGATCTCTTTAATGTGGTAATATGAATATGTAAATGTGTGCTTTTTAACCTCCTGTGCTATCCCAAAAACCGGGAGATCTCAATTTATAACTCTTTCCCACTACTTTTTTATTGAGCTATAATTAATATCAGTAAATGTAACTACATTGTATTCAAATCTATGATATGAATATCCCTCCATTTATTGAGTTTTTATTTATTTTATTCGCCAGTGTTTTGTAATTTTCTGCATAGAGGGCACACTCATATTTTGTTAGATTATATTTAAGTAATTCTCCTTTTTGGTGCCATTGTAAGTAATATTTTTATTGGTTTAAAATTTCCATTGTTTTTTGCTAGTATGTAGGAAAACAACAAACTTTTTAATGTTGGTTTTGTAAACTAAACTCACATTTTAATTCTAGGAGGTTTTTCTAAAAATAAATAATGATGTTGTCCGTGAAAAAAGACAAGTTTATGTCTACCCTTTTCAATTTTATGCTTTGTATTTATTCCCCTTGCCTTATTTTACTAATTAGGACTTTACATGTATTGTTGAATAGAAGTGGGGGAAGGGGAAATCCTTGTCTTGTTTTTTATGCTGGGAGTAAAGCATTTAGTCTCTCACCATTCAATATGTAACCTGTAGGTTTTCTGTATGTCTTCTTTCCTTGGTGAAAGAAGTTACCTTGTATTCTTGTGTATTCCTAGGATAAACTCCATTTGTGTTATATATATATATATAGTTATATATATAGTTATGTATTTATATATAGGTATATGTTTATATATAGTTATATATTTATATATAGTTCTATGTATATATTTTGTATACATATATGTTTTGTATACATATATATATATATATATATAAAATACTGCCAGATTTCATATGCTAAGATTTTCTTGAGGAGTTTTAAATCTATGTTCATAAAAGGCATTTGTTTATAGATTTCTTCGATGTTTGACTGGTTTTGGTATAAGGATAATACTGGCCTCATAGAATGAGTTAGACACTGTTCCCTCCTTTTCCATTTTTCCAGCAGCTATTATATAAAATTGGTATGATTTATTCTTTAAGGATTGATAGAATTCACCAGTGAAACTTAGCACTGGCATTTTACCTTATTGGAAAGTTTTTATCAGCTAATTCAACTTTAAAAATTAGTTATGTGGCTATTCAATATTATCTGTTTCTCCTCGTATAAATTTTCATAGTTTACATCTTTCAAAAAATTGCCCTATTTTATCTAAATCATCAAATTTATGAGGATAAAGTTGTTCAAAGTATTCCCTTATTAGCCTGTTAATGTCCATGGGTGAGTAGTCATGACCCCAGTTCAAGTTCTGATATTGGTAATTTGTTTTCTCAGTTCCTTGGTTATTTTGTCTAGAGGCTTATCAATTTTATCAATATTTTCAAGGAATCTACATTTGGTTTTGTTATTTCTATTTTTCTATGTTTTGAATTTTATTAATTTCAGCTCACATTTATAGAATTTCTCTCATGTGCTTGGTTTGAATTTAAATTAAATTTTGTTATTGATTTTTTAAATTACTGATTTTAGATTTCTCACTTCCTAATATATAGATTTAATGTTTACCTTTGCCTCTAATTTGCATTTGTATCTCTTAATTTTGATAAATTCTCATTTTTTCTTTGTTCAAAATAGTTTAAATTACTTTTGAGACTTTTTTGACTCATATATTATTTAGAAGTGTGATGTTTAATTTCCAAATATTTTGGGATTTTCCAATTCTGTTATTAATTTAACTAGTTATTTCATTGAATAGAGTATTTCATTGTTTGAGAACACACTTTGCATAATTTCTATTCAGAAAGTTATATTTTGTGGTCAAGAATATGCTCTATCTTGGCAATTGTTTCATGAGAGTTTGAGAAAATGTGAATTCTGCTGTTGGGGAAATATTCTATAATGTCAATTAGATCAAGTTGATTCATGTTGCTGTTCAAGTTAACTATGCCCTTACTAATTGCTCTACGGGCATATTTTATCAATTACTGAACAAGAGGTGTTAAAGTCTCCAGCTACAATAGTAGATTATGTTTTTGTTTTGTTTTGTTTATAACGGAGTCTCGCTCTGTTGCCCAGGCTGGAGTGCAGTGGCGCCATCTCGGCTCACTGCAAGCTCCACCTCCCCAGTTCATGCCATTCTCCTGCCTCAGCTTCCCGAGTAGCTGGGACTACAGGCGCCCGCCACCATGCCCAGCTAATTTTTTGTATTTTTAGTAGAGACGGGGTTTCACCACGTTAGCCAGGATGGTTTCGATCTCCTGACCTTGTGATCTGCCCACCTCGGCCTCCCAAAGTACTGGGATTACGGGTGTGAGCCACTGCGCCCGGCCCCAGATTTATGCATTACTCTTTGAAGTTCCACCTGTTTTTACCTCAGGTATTTTGATGCTCAGTAGTTAGGCACATGCACATTAAGAATTTTTATGTCTTTTTAGAGAACTGACCTCTTTATCATTATGTGATGCCCCTCTTTATCCCTGATAATTTTTCTTGCTCTGAAGATTGATATATCTGAATTAATTTAGCTATTCCAACTTTCTTTTGATTTGTGTTAGCATGGTATGTTTTTCTCTGTTCCCTTGTTTTTACTCTACCTAAGAGTTTGTATTTTATGTTGGTTTTCTATAGACAAGTTATATATGAGCTTATTTTTTGATCCACTTTGAGTATTTATTTCTTTTAATAGGTATATTTATACCATTCATAGTAAGAGATTATCAATATAGGTGAAATAATATCATTCATATTTGTAACTGATAAATATTGGTTACATTTTTAATTTCTTTCCTTCCTCCATCTTCTGCCTTCTCTGATGTTAAAGGAGTATTTTACTTTATTCTGTTTTGCTCTGTTTGTTTATTATAAAGTAATGGCTATTATTATTATCATGTCTTATTTAATATGACATTTATTTTCTAAACATTTCTAGTGATTGGTTTAAGATTTATAATAAACAATAAAATAATATACCTTCAAATAATACTTTATCAATTAACATGTAGAACAGTTACTTATAACAAAATATTTTCAATTTCTCCCTCCAGTCCCGTGTGATGTTGTTGTCACTCATTTTAGTTTTACATATTCTGTACCATACACTATATTTTTAGTATGGCTTTTCACAGACATTCATTTTTAGATAAATTAAAAATAAGAAAAATAAACATTTTGTTTTACTCATTTACTCTTTTCTGACATTTTTTTAAAAAGTAAATTTAAGTTTCTGACCAATATTAATCTTCTGCCTGAACTGTTCTTTTAAAATTTATTGTAGTGCAGTTCTGCTTGCAGTGAGGTCCCTCTGTTTCTGTTTCTCTGGATCATTCTCTGAATGAGCTTTTATTTCTCCCTCACTTTTTTTTTTTTTTTTTGAGATGGAGTCTCACTCTGTCGCCAGGCTGGAGTGCAGTGCTGCAATCTCAGCTCACTGCAACCTCCACCTCACAAGTTCAAGCAATTATCCCGCCTCAGCCTTTAGAGTAAGCTGGGACTACAGGCACGCACCACCATGCCCAGCTAATTTTTGTATTTTTAGTAGGGTCAGGGTTTCGCCATGTTGGCCAGGCTGGTCTTGAATTCCTGACCTCAGTTGATCCACTCGCCTCAATGTATACAATTCAGATATGACAGTTTTTCTTTTAACACTGTAAAGATTTTACTTCATTGTCTTCTTGTTTACATGGTTTCTGGTCATTTTTATTATTGTTTCTCCATAGGTTAGGTGCTTCCTTCTCTGACTGCCTTCAAAATTTCTCTTTGTCTTTGGTTTTTGGCAATGTATATGTGGTATGTCTAAGTAATTTTTTTTTTACTTTGTTTCTGTTTTGTTTTCTCTGAAACTCTTGGGTTTGTGGTTTGGTGTCTGTTATTAATTTTGGAAAATCTTTGACTTTTATTTCTTTAAATACTTTTTCTGCCCCTTTCTGTTTTTCTCCTTCTTCTGGCATTCCAATGACATGTATGTTGCACCTTTTGCTATTGTCCTACAGTTCTTGGAAATTATGTTCTCCCTTTTTTTCTCTCATTCCTTTTTCTTTTTACATCTTAATCTGGGCAATTTGTACTGCCCCATCTTCAACTTGATTGATTCTTTCCTTAAATGTATTAAGTCTACTAATGAGCCCTTCTGAGGCATTCTTTATTTTTGTTACTGTGCTTTTCATTGCTAGTAATTCCCTTTGAATCTTTATTATGGTTTCCATCTCTCTGCTGTCAATGCACATCTGATCGTGCACAGTTCACACCTGTAGAGACTTTAATGTAGTAACAGTATTTATTTTTAAACCTCTGAATGCTAATTCCAACACCTGCATCTTTTCTGAGTCTGGTTCACATCATTGCTTTATCTCTTCAGTTTTCATTGGGCTTTTGGTGTGCTTTGTATTTTTTTGTTGTCATTGAAAGCTAAACATGTTAAACAAAGCATTAAATATTGAGATAAGTAGGCCTTAAATTTGAGGATTTAAGTTTATCTTGCAATAGGTTGCTCTGTGTTTGACATTTGTTGTAGCTATGGGTTCTAAAGACTTCACATTTCTATGCTGACCTTGTTTGTGTCTCACTTCTTGACTATTGACTATGGGGTTCCCTTTGCACTTCTCCTCATCATTGCTACTACTAATGAAGTCTTATGAGCGTGGCCATATCATGTACAGAAGAGAGGGCATTCTCTAATCTTTTGATTAACTCTCAGTTTTTGGAGTGCACCGGGTCCTGTGTCTTGGAGCTGTGGCCTTCTTAAGTGTTTCTGTCCCTTCTCCAGTAATAGGGCTTTGTTCCCCTGCCTCCTAATCCTTCGTCAGCTGCAGCAGCTATATTTTAATTTTTCTCCATCTATATTCTTGTAATTATGTTCCTTATTTTCTTTTTAGTTAAGACAGGGAGGCTGGAATGGGGCTGGAGTGAGGAAGCTGGTGGGCCAGAGTTCCTGCGGACTGGCTAGAATGGGATTTTCTAATTGGCTTCTGATGATGACTTTCCTGAGATTAAACAAATCTTTTTTTTTTTTTTTTTCAGAAGAATGAAATGTCAGGGTGAACGTCACAGTAACTAAACTTTCTGTCCACCTACCACAGTCATAGGGGTTAAGGTTGAGCTTCACAATGAGAACCTGGCAGAGTGCCTAGAGTAAAAGGCTGTGAAAGTGTCTGGGAGAGGGAGGCTATGACTGTGGCCCCCAGAAGGTTCTCATTCTCGTGTTAGCTGACAGTTGGCTTCTAGTAATTCATGAAAATTTCTACTTTACTGTTTTTATTGGTTTATGGCATCCTCCAGCTTCTGCTCTAGGTAAGTGAATCTGAGGTCCTGTGTCTACCTAGAGTAGTTGTAGTTGGGGATGCTGTTTGGAGACTTTTTCAGGCCCCCATGGTGAACTGCACTTTGGGCCTTTAAGATATTGGGGCAAGAATTCTAACCTCATATGCAGATAATTATTCTGCTTTTGATAAATGGCTCTTGGCCTGCTATAGACACTTAATAGAAACTGAGTGCTTTGATCACAGGCCACCAAGTTACCTGTGCCACCCATCATAAACTGGCATTATCTGACCCACCAAGTCATATAGTTGGGCACACACAACAATACTTCATCTTCAAATGAAGGAGCCTGAATAGACTCAAAAGGCACAGGTCAGCTACATGCAGAAGTGGCCCACTTGCCCATAGTACCCACTTCTGCTGCACAGCCTGTCCTCTCCCAGCCTGCACCTGCAGCCTCATGGGGTGTTGTGTATGATCAATTGACATAGAAAAAGAAGACTTGGGCTTGGTTTACAGATGGTTCTGCCTGATATGTGGGCACCACTCTGAAAGTGGACAGATGTAATCCCTTCTCTGGGATATCCCTGAAGGAGAGTGGTGAAGGGAAATCTTCCCAGAGGGCAGAACTTCAGGCAGTGCACCTGGTTGTGCCCTTTGCCTTGAAGGTGAAATGTTTAGGCATGAGATTATATTCCAATTCATGGGTATTAGCCAATGATTTGGCTGGATGGTCAGGGACTTGGGAGGAATATGATTGAAAAATATATTAAAAAGTTGACAATTTAATAATCTCCTAGATAGAATGACCTGTTACGTGGATATCAGACACACTCTTTCCCCAGCCACCCCTGTCATAACCCAATGGGTTCATGAACAAAATAGCCATGGTGGCAGGGATGGAGGTTAGGCATGGGCTCAACAATGTGGAATACCACTCACCAATAATGGCCAGGTTATGGCCACTGCTGAGTGCTCAATCTTCCAGCAGTGGAAATCAACCCTGAGCCTCCAGTATGAAACCATTCGGTGGGATAATCAGCCAGCTACCTGGTGTCAAATTGATTAGAATGGACTGCTTTCATCATGGAAGGGGCAGCAATCTGACAACTACTTTGGATATTTATTTGTCTCAATACATGCAATAGTTCTTTCAACAATACCATTTGTTTACCTCCAGGATGCCTTATCCACCATCATGGTATTCTCCTCAGAATTGTTTTTCATCATGAAACTCACTGAATAACTAACAAAATGCAGCAATGGGCCTATGCTCATGGAATTCAGTGGTCTTACCATATTACCCGCCATCCTAAAGCAGCTGGTTTGACTAAGCAATGTTACAGTGTCAGCTAGGTGACAATCCCTTGTAGGGCTGGGTTAAGATTGTTTAGAAGATAGCATATGCTCTGAATCAGTGTCCAATATATGATGCTGCCTCTCCAATAGCTAGAATTCATGGGTCAAGGAATTAAGACGTGGAAATGAGAGTGATGTTACCATTATCTGAAGTAACCCACTATCACAACTTTTGCTTCCTCCTCTCATGACATTAGGTTCTGAGGGTCCAAAGGTTTTAGTTCCAAAGGGAGGAGTGTTTCCACCAAAAGACACAACAGTGATTCCACTGAATGGCAAGTTAAGACTGCCACCATGTTAACTTCAGAAGTGATTTATAGTTTTGGCTGGAGTGATTAATCTTGACCATCAAAGGAAAATTGAACCATTACTCACAATGGAGGTAAAAAATAAGTATGTCTGCAATACAGATTTTTCGAGGAGTCTTAGTATTATCATACCTTGTGATTATGGTCCATAGAAAACCACAACCACCCAGTCAAGGCAGAAATTACTTCCTAATAGTCCACACATTTCAGGAATAAGGATTTGGGTTACCCCACAAGGTGAAGAAACCATGACCTGCTTAGGTGCTTGGTGAAGTCAAAATAAATACAGAGTGGATAGTAAAATAAGGTAGTTATAAATACCAGTTATCTCAGAAATGAATACTGTAATTGTCATGAGTATTTCCTCCATATGTTCTTATGAAAATGTTTGTGTGTATTTACACATATATTAAGCAAATATTTTTATTTTCTCTCCTATTCCTTCATGGTGCAACATAAGATGTATTGACTTTATTTATTTATTATTTTTTACATAAGCATCGAAAAATTGTTTTCTTTTTATACATCAACAAAATTTATTTGTATTTACTGTATACAGCATGATATTTTGAAGTATACATACATTGTGAATTTACTAAATCCGGCTAATTAACAACGTATTACCTCACATAGTCATCATTTTTGTTTTGTAAGGAACACTTCACATCTACTCTCTTAGCACTTTTCAAGAATACAATATATTATTAACTATAGTCCCTAGGTTGTAAAATAGATCTCTTGAACTTATTCCTCCTAACTGAAATGTTGTATCTTTTGGCCAATATCTTCCCAACCACCCCACTCCCAACTACCCCAGCCCCTGGTAGCCACTATTCTACTCTACCTCTATGAGATCAACTTTTTTAGAGTCCATATCTAAAAAGGGGGTGAGAACATGCAGCATTTGTTTTTCTGTGCCTGGTTAATTTCAATTAACATAATATCCTCCAAATTCATCCATGTTGTCACAAGTGACAGGATTTTATTTTTTTGTTTTTTTTTTTTGTTTTGTTTTATAGGGTTTCACTCTGTCACCCAAGCTGAGTGCAGTGGTGCAATCACGGCTGACTACAGCCTTGACCTCCTGGACTGAAGCGATCCTTCCACCTCAGTCTCTCGAGTATCGGGGACCACAGGCACATGTCACCATGCCTGGCTAATTTTTGATTTTTTGTAGAGACGAGGTCTCACTATTTTGCTTAGGCTTGTCTCGAACTCCTGAACACAAGTGATCCTCTTGCGTCGACCTCCCAAAGTGCTGGGATTACAGGCATGACCCACCATGCCTGGCTGGTTTTAATTCTTTTTTTCATAGCTTTTTAATACCTGAATAGTAGTCCATTGTAGATATATAAATCAGTTTAAGCATTATTATATTACAACGTAGTATTGAACTTATGGTACATTCAAAGAAGATTAAACAACGGTCAGGGACTTAAGGAAGAGATTGGTGTGTTGTAGGTCGTATGCAGGATAGTTGTATCATGCTAGGTGGAATCATGACCCTGATATTGTCTTTATTTGAAAATTAAGCACAGTTTAAAGAGATGCATATGGGTGCTAAGTTGACAAGAGGTGGACTTGTGATCATCCATTTTATGTGTCAACTTGACTGGCCTAAGGTATACCTTGATAGCTGGTAAAACATTCAGGATATGTTTGTGAAAGTGTTTCTGGGAGAAATTAACATTTGAATTGGTAAAGTAAGTAAACCACATTGCTCCCTACAATGCAAGTGCATATTATCCAGCCTGTTCAGACTCAGAATAAATTATATCCCAGCTTTCCTGATTCTCCAGTTTTCAGAAAGAATATCCCAAGACCTGCCAGCTTCCATAATCTAGTGAGCCAATTCCCAGAATAAGTTTTCTCTTAAGCATGCATCTATATGCTGTTGTTTCTGTCTTTTTGGAGAAACCTGATTAATGCAATCTATAATCTATATCAGTAGATGCTCTCCTAGACTAGCCTTCTTGTGTATTTTGCCCTCATCACCTGTTTTGCTTTTTTTTTTTTATGTTTTCATTCACATTTGGAAGGAAATTAGAACAGCATTCGTCCTCGTAGCTAAGACAAAGGAGTGCCACGTCCTTCCCATTTATTCAAACCAAAACTTTAAGGGAATGAAAAGTCATGTGGAATCATGAGAAAAAAAATGCAGCCCCTAGGAGGTTTCAGTTCTCTGGGTTAGAATCCTCGTAGAACCTGCCATGTGGAGTTTATGGGAGTATTAAATAATGGAGAGATATATTAAATACCTAGGAAATGGTAAGTGCCAATTAGAGTGATCAATTATCCCAGTTTGCTTGTGACTTTCCCAGTTTTAACACTAGGAGTCCCATGCCTAGGAAACCCCTCAGTCATGAGCAAACTGAGGCAGCTGGTCACTCTAGTGATGGCTAATGTGTAACGTGCCAATACGCATTAGCCATTATTAAGTTTCTAAAATTCAGAACTGTGACTAAAACTTTTGTGGCCTACAGCAATTACCATGAAGGTAGCTTTAATCAAGTTTTAAAAGCTCATATGGTGGTACACACAAGGATATCCTTAACAATACGAGTCTTCTCCCACTTTTCTGTTTTAACTTTTTATTCTTGAATTGGAAGCATGGCTTTTAAAATCCCACGTTTCAAATTATGAACATTTTGAATGTTGATGACCCAGGGCAATGCCATCTCCCTACCTTCTGAGGCTTCTCTCAACCACAATCATCAGCCCATTGAGAAAATATTTTGAATACAACTTTCTGCCACACTGAATATATTTCTCTTTCACAGAAATACTCTGAGGGAATATAAAACATATCATGCCAGAGTGTTGTGAAACCCCATATCCAGGGAGCAATTAATTTGTGCAGAAAGTTTTATATATTTACAATACTGAATGCCGTGAAAAGCCATTTCCTTCAGAGAAAATAAATCACACTCTTTTTCCTAAAATCTGAGTACTTGATATTGTTTTATTTTACATAAAAATTTATTCTATAATCACTCTTAGGGATTTTTTTTAGTTCATAGATTTATGCTCTTGGCAAAGTCTCTGCTGTACTTCTCTCCCACCAATTTTCTCGGGTTTCTCAGCAGCATTTACAACTATGGTTCCTCTTAAATTTCAAAGTAATTCTAAAGTGTTTGTGCTACCCTATTGCATTAATTTTCTGTTGTTGTTGTAAGCTGTAACATAATCTTTTTCTTGGTGGGGAGGGGGGAAAGTGAAGTTTCAGATGGTTCACAAGATCGCCATTCGTGATGGGATTTTCACTTCTCCTCATTACAGCAGAAAGCATCCTGAGGAGTGTGTTCTCAGAGCAGACAACAAAAGTGACACAGACTTACTTCCCTATCCTCTATTTTACCAACTGTACGGAGTATGATAACTGTATTAAGATTTTCCAGAGAAAAAGAACAAATGAAATAGATATAGATATGAATACAGACATAGATATAGATAATATAGCAAAACATTTATTATGAGGGATTAGCTGTTGCTATTATGATAGCTGTGAATTACCACAGTCTGCTCTCTTCAAGTTGGAAGCTCAAGAAAACCAGTGGTGTCGGTTCCAGTCCAAATATGAAGGTCTGAGAACCAGAAGAGCCAATTGTGAAACTACCAGTTCATTGCTGAATGTCTGAGAATCAGGAACTCTGATGTCTGAGGGCAGGAGAAGATGGATATCACAGCTCAAGAAGAGAGAGAGAATTCACCCTTCCTCCACTTTTTTTTATCTATTCAGGCCATCAAAGGATTGGATAATTCCAGTTTATGTTAGGGAGGACCTTCTGTCTTAACTCAGTTCACCAATTCCAATGCTAACCCTTACAGACGCACCTTGAGATAATGTTTTTTGCAACTATCTGGGCATTCCTTAGTCCAATCAAGTTGACACATAAAATTAACCATTACATAGATAAACTGGGTTTGTCACAGGTAGGGTTCCCTGAGAAGCAGAGTTGGAGATAAATATCAGTGTGCAGAGCTTTGTCTAAGAATGAATACCCATGAACAGAAAAATAAGGAAACAGGAGAGGGACCTAGGAGAAGTTGGGCTGCCATGTAGTGACAACAAAACCCCAGCTGACTTTACAGGCACTGCAAAGCTGAGATGGCCTTCAATAATGGCCTATGATGGGAACTAGGGGTCTGGAAACTCGTTAACAAAGAAATTAAACTGATACTCACTTGGGATCAAGACACATAGCTTATGACTAGTTAGTTGCTGGACACAGGCTGACAAAGGGGCTGGTAAAAGAAGGATAATAGGCCAGGCGCGGTGGCTTATGTGTGTAATCCCAGAACGTTGGCAGGTCGAGGTGGGCAGATCACTTAAGGTCAGGAGTTCGAGATCAGCCTGGTCAACATGGTGAAACCCCATCTCTACTAAAAATACAAAAGTTAGCTGGGCATGGTGGCTAGCACCTTTAATCCCAGCTACTAGGGAGGCTGAGTCAGGAGAATCACTTGAACCTGGGAGGTGGAGGTTGCAGTAAGCCAAGATCGTGCCATTGCACTCTAGCCTGGGCGACAAAAGTAAAACTCCATCTCAAAAATAAATAAATAAATAAATAAATAATAAAAATTTAAAAGGAGGGATACTAACTGAGAGCAGTCTGATGGCAGCACTCCCAGCAGTTGGGGGAACTGGACATCATTTTGGCTGGGGTATCTGGGCAGCATATAATAGCTTCCATTCCCTGTTTGAAGAGGACCAAGCCTTGTTTCAGAGACTAATTTCTCTTAGAACCAACAAAATTTCAAAGAGTATTGGTAACGTAGTCCCATTGCTTAGGAAGTTTCTTGATTTTTAAAATATGTCAGTGAATGGTGAATCCATAAATGATTTGGTTTCACATTTACATCTCTGAAATTTTGACTTATATACAAAAATCACGTCTCCCGTAGGATGTGTTCTCAAGCCAGAAATTCCATTAAAACATGAATAAAATGGGCATATACTGAGCATGGCTGTGGCATCATATGCTCTGTGGGCACTATTCCCAGATCCTCATGCTTTAATGCTGCTTTCATGATCAAAGTTTGCAAATTCCAGACTTCTTCAAAGGCGCGGTCACAACTCTGACTTCAGGGAGGCTCTCTCCTCTCAGTAGCATGGTCCTACACAGCCAACAGCATTCTCCTAACTCTGTCCCCAGATCCCAAACTTTCAGAGTGCTGTCTCTGCTGATGCTGTGGAATGTCTGTGAGAGCAATTTCTAATCAAGACCCACACAGTGAAAATCTATACAATGGATTTTGGACTCACGCAACCATCAATCTAACTTCATGAAAACAAAGGTTACCCAAAGCAGGTAAAATATACAATGTTGCTAGGGACTGTGGCATATGAACCTCCCTCAGCCTGCTTTACTATGTATTCACTATTTTGAAACATTCTTTCTTTTTATTTTTTAACAAAAGTTGTATAAGTAACCAGCAATGACATGTAAAATGAAACAATATCCTTATATTATGACAAAAATTCAATACTTTACAACATAGAATGAGAGAGATGTTTGCAGGCATACAAGTATTGTCAGTTCTATATATTTTATAATAATTTCTGGGTTTTATACTCAGGTGATATATCACAATATCATGTTGAGTTCCATGAACTGTTCTGTATTTTAATGATAGTCTCTAAATGTAGGTAGAGACAAGGGCATTTTTTTTTTGGCATGGGGTTATTGATCTGTTTCACCTTATCAATATCAACATAATAAGTATATTGTGTATTTTTATCTTTAATTTTTTTATTTTTTCTCAAATTCTATCCTACTAATTTTTTTTCCTCAAATTCTATTCTGCTTCTCAGCTCACCACCTTTGAGCTTTCTTTCTCTCATATTTATATTCTCTGGAAATGTAGCTCCAACTTATGTTTTTCCTTTGAGTAGTCAACATTTAATAAGTGGTAAACTGTGGCTAGAAGCTACGTACTTGTTAATTAAAACTGCCACTTTGAATTTTTCCACCTGTCTGGTTTACTTGTTTCAAGCAAATTTGTAAGCATGGATTTACAAACCCTTATTGAAACTCTTTAATTGCCACAGAAATTTTAGGTTAAAACTGATGTATGCAATTGTAGACAAGCTTTGAAAAAAAATATTTATCAGAGGCTTTTAGACAAATCTGAATTTATTTATTTCCTGAGTAATTTCCATGATAAATTTTTCCAGCAATCAGACAAGGTTTACTCTTAACTTTTTTCTTGATGCAAACATCCTGCTTATTTGCATAAATTGTACTGTATAAATGTATTTGTTTGTACATAAAAATTATTTTATAATGCTTTTCTTTCATTCAACTTTAAATCGATCTTTTTTGATTTTGAAATCTATGCCTTTTGATAAAACTTCACTCCTGGTAGATAGGAGTAAGCATCTGTAAAATTTTCCTCATTCTACATGAAAATAAGTACTGGTTGGACACATGGTATGAGTTATAAATATAATATGTAAAATTAGTACTATATACAATATATTATGTGTTATATTAATATGTAAATATTATGTACAGTGTACCAAGTTCATTTCACTTTGTTAGAGTGATAGCAGAGGTTGATAGGTATTTTCATATTTTATTTAATATTGTTATAATAGTCTTAGTGTTTTGTTTTGTTTTAGGATGGACAGAATAGAAGAAATTTTACAGAATGGGAACTGTCATTAGTAATATCGTATTGTCTACTGAAAATTTGCTAAGAGTAGATTTTAGGTTCCCTTACCTTCCACCCCCAACCCCCCACCACACACACATACACACAAAAGGTAACTATAGAAGGTGATTAATATTTTAATTTGTTTGACTGTAGTAATCATTTCACCATGTATATACAAAATCATGTTGTATACATTTAATTTACATAATAAAATATATTTAAATATATGTATAATATTTAAAATTCTAACCTTGTATCAATTTAATACATTGATATACTACATTTTTATTCAGTTTACCTAGTTTCTACTTACCAAGAAATCCAAGGTTTATATTGCTAAGCTGGCTGTTGGGGGCGGGGGGAGCCGGTGGCGGGGGGGAGCGTATTTTAAAACATTTCATTCACTGAAAAAGCTTGAATATAAATTTTACTTTTGGTATAAGTTGTATATTTTTAAGACCGCAGGTCATTTCACATATATTATTTTACTTACTGTTGGTTTTTCTTAATTGAATTTTTTGTATCATTTTCCCTACAGACGTCATTAAAAGCTTTCTTTATGTTCATGTTTTATTGAACAAACAAGGATATTCTTCCATTACTATATAAATTGCTCTTGAAAAGTGCATTTCCCCAAATCAATGATCTCACGTTTTGCTGGTTTTATATATTCCTGATTGTAATAGTAATTATTGAGACCAAATTAGTAGAGACAAATTTTTCTCTGACCATTAAAAACTAACATTTAGTGGCTATTTGTATTTTAAAATTTTTTTTTCTTGACTACCCATCATCCTAAGAATCAGTGTTTTATCAGAATAAAAAAATTAATACTTAATCTTGTCTACAGTTTTTCCCTGATAAAATTCTTTTCCTAATCGATTGGCTATTGACAGTTTCAAAAAAATTACGTAGCCTTCTTTTTTTTTTTGTTTTTTTGTTTTTTTGAGATGGAGTCTCTCTGTCGCCCAGGCTGGAGTGCAGTGGCGCGATCTCAGCTCACTGCAAGCTCCGCCTCCCGGGTTCACGCCATTCTCCTGCCTCAGCCTCCTGAGTAGCTGGGACTACAGGCGCCTGCCACCATGCCCGGCTAATTTTTTGTATTTTTAGTAGAGACGGGGTTTCACTGTGTTAGTCAGGATGGTCCCCATCTCCTGACCTCGTGATCCACCTGCCTTTGCCTCCCAAAGAGCTGGGGTTACAGGCGTGAGCCACAGCGCCCAGCGTAGCATTCCCTTTTTACCTTCTATCATTTAAAGGGTAAATATGGATGAAGTGACCATTGAAAGTTGATGGGATTATAAATGGGAGAGGGAGGCTGCCACCCCATGTGTTAGGGGACTGTTTTAATTGCCTTGTGCAGAACAGATGAGAGCTTTAGTATATTAGTTATATTAGAAACATTTTTCCAGCAGAATTAAGGTTATTTAGCCCAGGTCCTCCTTCCACTCCCTAAGGGTCTCTTAGAGGGTACGTATTTTCATACAAACTACACAAAAATTAATATCATGAGGCTTTGTAATTAAGCACCATTATTTCTAGAGGGGCTTTCAGGGCCTTGAAGTTCTAATAATTATGATTCCCAATGCTATACTAACATGTTATAAGTGTTTTAGAGATAGAAAATCTGGGATAAAAAAGTTTTTATTTTTCCAGAATCTTATAGCTGCGTGATACATTAAATGATCTAGCTGTAAAAATGGAATAATCCTAGTGCATGAAAAGAAATCAGTATATTGTATACTTGGAACTAGTTTAAAATCATAACATTAATCTTACAGGAAAAATATATGAGAAGGTTGTGAACATCTCTATCAAGTATAATTCCTAAAAGGACTGTCTTTAAGCACATGTGTGTAAGAGGTGTTTCATGGCTTAAGTAACCGCCTTCCGATTTCTCTTTTTGTATTTGCAGATGACTTGAGACATCTCATTATCAACTTGATTTTTACATCCCCTAGAAATAATGTGAGCTTTATTGCCTGGATGCCTAGTGATATTTTCCTGTTTTGTTTTGTTTTGTTTTGAAGTCTAGTAGTTCTATAAGAACATATCTAAGTTTTCATTGTTATGGGATGATTTTCCTAAATACGTATTACTTCTTTTAAATATTTAGGTTCCAATAAACATTTAATTGGAGAAAGTTGATTTTAATTACAAGTTTCAGTCTTTGTTCTTTTCCATTGCTTCAGTTTTCTTCTGTGTTGATTCCATTGTTGAAATTCTTTGACTGCCTCCTGCAGCTTCTGTTTTCTCTCAAATCTGTTTTTATCTCTGTTCACTCTTGTGTTACTTTCAACTTAGTTTTCTTTCCTTAATTTTTAAAATTTCTCTCTCTATTATTTTTTTAACTGAGTTCTACTTCTTTCCCTTTGTCAGTTTCCCTTTTTGCATTTTCATTTTTGTCTAATCGTTCATACCTGAGTTGCTCTGATTCTGGTGGTGCTGTTCTTTTACATCTCCAGTTGTTTTCTTGATTTCTTTTAGCTCATTTTGTAGTATTAAACTTTTGGTTTACTTCTTTTCTGACCATGTCTTTCTAGTGTCTTCATGTCTGTTGGGATGTCAGTAAGTGAATTCTCCTTTTTACCTTTGGTTGTATCTGGATACGCTTTCATTGCACTCAATTCATGCCTTGTGTTTGAACACAATGGCTGTTCTGCCCCTTTAAAGGGAGGCTTCTATGCAGATGGTTGGTGGGTGCACCACTATACATTTTCTATCTTCAAGAATCTAAGGTTCTCTACTTTTCTGTTTCCAAAACAGTGTTAAAAAAATATGGCTCCTCTTTATTTTGTGGGATCCTTCTTTCTATTCCTCTTTCCATCGTATATTTGGACCTCATCTTTACTTTTGCTCTTGGATTCACTGTACTTCACAATTTGATTCTCCTCCCAGTGATTTCTCCTCGTAATAAATCTCTGCTCTGAATCGGAGCTTAGGCTGCAGAATTTCACGTGCTATTTCTTCCCAGGCTATGCCAGCATCATTGGAACTTCCTGCAACCCTGCAGCCCTCACCCCACTCTTCCCCATTTCAGCTTTTGTCTTCAAGTCATCCCACCAAGACTCCATTCTGGATGAAAACTTCTCTTTTTGTTAGGAATTTCTGGGTTCTGTGCATTTCAGACTGATCTGAGGTTTCACAGACCTCTGTTTCATCCCATAGAATTGCTCATATTACATTGGGTAGTTGCTGAGAGTGGCCAGCCTTCCTGGATCTTGAGGTTTATGGGAATACTTGTCACCTTTTTTTGCTTTTTTAAAGTTTCTAAAAAACTACTTTAGTTATTACTTTTCTCACTTTTATGTGTTTTTACCTCAATTAAATGGAAACCATCTGGAAGCAGTAGAAAACCTATAGGTAGACAATCTCACCCTAAATCTGATCTTTACTCTAAGTCACATTATTATTTACTGAGCCTTTGTTATCAACGTCTTTTTGAATCCAATCCTTCACTGTTTGGGTTCTAAAAGCATTGAGTTTTTCCTGTCCTAAAAATCACCACGTTTCTGGGCACTGAATTTTCTTTCACGTACATGGGCGAATTAGGCAATTATTTCATGAAATCTTCTGCTCTTGCAAATTTTTCTAGGCTACTGCAGGTAAAAGCTTTACTAAATATTTACTTCTGCATAAAATTATCACCTTAAGTCTTAACCTCCTGAAATCAGTTTCCTTGCTGGTCCTCACATTTCAAAGTTTTGTTTTCATTTCTTTGCTTTTGGCAACTTTTTTTTTACAAGATACATAATCCTGTAGGACAAAGGAAAGTGGGTTCTATAGAGATAACAAGTCACACCTGGAATATCGGTGGCCTAGTAAAGAAAAAAAAAAAAGGTATAAGTCTCACTCACCTCTCTGTGTAAAGTAGGAAAGCCAGATCTTCCTCACCACTCTTGTCCAGTCAGTGGCTCCAAGATCCAAATTTCTTTCTTTTTTTTTTTTTTTGTATAAGTATCTGTGACAGCTACAACAAGTAACTTCCTTGGTTGCATGACAGGGAAAGAGAAGATTGCGTTTTTTTAAGGACTGTATTTGCAAGTGGTATGTCACCTCTGACCACATTCCCTTGACAAAGCTCAGTTACAGACTCCAACTAATCTGTAAAGGAGACTTGGAAATGTAGTCTCCTTTATGGTCAACAAGGTACTAGAATATAGTGAACATATAACATCGGTGTACACGTGAGTAAGTACTTTTTGCCATGAAGTAGGTCTTTCAAAACAAATGAAATGTTCTCTCTTATCCTTTGTAATTTTAATAGTAAAATTTTCCCTCAGTAAGTTCAAATATTTTTTAATAAGATATTTTTTAAAGGGTTGGATGCTATGATGGGATCCAGGATACACAGAAATACTTAACTTGAGGCCAGGAACAGTAAATGAGGAAAGAAAATTAAGTGTTTTATTTATTTATATATTTTTTTGAGACGGAGTCTTGCTCTGTCGCCCAGCCTGCGATTACAGGTGTGAGCCACTGCGCCCGGCCAAATTAAGTGTTTTAATAGTGTTTCCAGATAACTTGAATGAGAGGGCAATAACTAGGGCTCAGAATAAGTTCTGAAATTCTGAATGTGGTGAGAAACCATAAGTTAACTAAAAAGCTTAGCATCAAACCTATAATGGAATTTAAATTTTAATGAATATATGACTAAGGAAAAGAATTTTGAAAAAGTAAGTCTCAAAGCACAGAAAGAAAAATGACATATAAGAGGAGGCAAGAAATATATGTCTGTATTTGAAGTTTATCTTAGAATTTTGTCAGCTTATAATACTTACATTTCACAGTGAACCATATTTTAAAGAATAAAGAATAATATTGTTTCATTGATGGAATTATATATCTGGGAGTACAGATGCAGAATTTATAATGAATTAACTTAAAAATAAAATCAAGAGGAATGTCACTGCTAACATTTAGAGAACAGAAAATTTAGTCAAAGACAGATGTTTTATAATAGCACATGCATATGCAGGTGAAACATTATCATACTTGGTAAAAGTTTTCATTTTATAAAAGTTCGTTTTGTAAAATATGTCATAGAGAAGAATGTATAAAAATGTTTTTACATTTTTAAGAATAGCTGTAAAACAATAGTTTTGTAATTTCCATTCATGTTAAACAACAGAACATTTTTAGTACCTTTAAAAAATAGGCTTGGGCCAGGCACGGTGGCTCATGCCTGTAATACCAGCACTTTGGGAGGCCGAGGTAGGCGCATCACGAGGTCAGGAGATCGAGACCATCCTGTCCAACATGGTGAAACTCTGTCTCTACTAAAAATACAAAAATTAACCAGGCGTGGTGGCGCATGCCTGTAGTCTCAGCTACTCGGGAGGCTGAGGAAGGAGAATCACTTGAACCCGGGAGGTGGAGGTTGCAGTGAGCCAAGATCCTGCCGTGGCACTCTAGCCTGGCAACAGAGTGAGACCCTGTCAAAAAAAAAAAAAAAAAAAGGCTCAGCCTGGCATGGTGGCTCATGTCTGTAATCCCAGCACTTTGGGAGGCCGAGGCGAGTGGATCACTTGAGGTCAGGAGTTCTAAACCAGCCTGGCCAACATAGTGAAACCCTGTCTCTACTAAAAATATAAAAATTAGCCAGGCTTGGTGGCACACACCTGTAATCCCAGCTACTTGGGAGGCTGAGGCAGGAGAATCGCTTGAACCAGGGAGGCTGAGGTATCAGTGAGCCGGGATCACGCCATTGCACTCTAGCCTGGGTGACAAAAGCAAAATTCCATCTCAAAAAAAAAAAATAGGCTCATGTATACATTCCCAACCTCCTCATCATCTTTTTTTTCTTTTCTTGCTCTTCCCTATTTTGGAAAATTTTCTGACTCTTGTAATATAATTACCCTTGCTAATCTTTTAATGAAAGCAATACAAGTACTAGATATATTTGCAGGGCAAATATCTCCTGACCCTATTATCAGACTCCCATCCATTACCCCAAAGATAATCACTGTTTGTACTTTCTTGTAAGCTGTCATTATACTACATTTTTGCACATTCACTAAAAAGGACATGGATGTATTTTTCTTAATGCAAAAATGATCATATTAAAATTAAGAACCCTGTACTGTTCACTTAATATATCTTATCTTATAATGCTCTCTAGGTCAGCACTGTAGTTACATTTCATTCCCCCTAAACATAGCGTGTTTTTCAAATAGACCCCAAATAATTTATTTGACTCCTCATTGTTGTCAGATTTTGTTTTAAATAGTTAAGAATTGTTAACAATTCATGCTGCGGTGAATTTACTAATGCTTACATCGCTGGTGTTATTTTTGAGTGTGTCTTTCAAATTATTTCTGGCAGTGAAATTTAATAAGAACAATTTTTTAAAAGTCATTGAGTTAGAATCTCTGGGGACTTACGATGCATATTTTTAAGCAAATACTATCCTCATGAGAATGCCCATTTTTAGTAATTGGAGAATTTACTAATGGGATTGTGCTAGGCACATGCCTAGCTGGAGATGGAATATAGCATAAAGCCTAAATAGAATTACAGTTGTTTAAGTTGACATGTACATTAGAGTGAATGATGTCTTCGAGAAATAATTTGAAAAAATAACTCCTCATTTCAATGTAATCTAAAATGCTGCATAATTGGAAATAAAATAATGAAGTTCCCTTAGGTTCTTAAAAATGTACGTTTTTTTTTCCAAAACTTGGTGGTTTATTTACATATTACCCATTCTGTAACAAAGCATCAATTAATATATAATGAAATAAGGCCAGTTTACACAAAAATTTTGATTTCAATTAATCTTATTTATACATAGAAGTTTAGACAATTTACTTTCATGTGCATCTGCAGAGAGACCAGGATTTACATGAGACTTCTTTAAAAAAATAATAATCAGATAGTAAAAAAAAAAACTCATCTCTGCTGATTTGTTTCTTAAGTAATATAATTTATTTGCAGATAGTGTTATCAAAAGGAAGAGTGAAAAAGTGATTACTCATGTAAAGTTAAACTTTTCATTTTCTCTGCTACGTTAAACAGCTTAATGTGAAAAAAAGTCTTTTATACATTCTGATAATATGGTTAAAATCTGCAAGTCATTCTAAACAAATCTCCCTCTTGTTGCTATTAACCGTTCTCTGATTCATAAAGTATCTCTTCGGGCGATAGGCCCCGTGCAAGTTCCAAATCCAGCAATACAGTCAAATCTTAAATCTCCAAAATGATCATCACCTTTGACTCCATGTCTCACATGCGGGTCACGCTGATGCAAGCCGTGGGTTTTCATGGTCTTGGGCAGCTCCACCCCTGTGACTTTGCAGGGTACAGCCCTACTTCTGGTTGCTTTTACAGGCTGGCATTGGAACTTGGTCAACTGGAAGTTAAAGAGGTTGCATCCATCCACTCTCTACTAGACACTGGCACAATTTAGCAATGACATCAGAGTGTCCTCATTTACTATTTGTATGGTTCTGCTGATAAATATTTCTCTCTGTGCTGTAGATGCGTACGTGGCCAGCTATCTCTTCCTTGTAAAATTTAATTCTGCATAAAAACAGAACAGAAGAAGTAATAACACTGGTTACCAAAGCAATTTATACCACTTTCTGTATAAAATTAAAAACATAAACCTATTTCTTGAGCTGCAGCAGTTTACGGTTTTGCTTCTTAATTGTTTAATGCTTTAAGTTATAAAAGCTTTAAAAACTGATGGACATAAAACAGGAAACAGTAAACCTCAAGGAAAATAATTAGCAATAATCTTAATATCAATGAAGTTAACATTTTAGTTACCTGCACTGTATCAATTAAGGAGTTTCAAATTCTGATACCAACACAATGGCCTCCATGATTACCCTCATATACATATAGTTAAGAATCTGGTATCCTATATAAGAAAGTGCTAATCTAACCCAGCATTCATTTGACAGAATGAGGGGTCTATCGAAGTCCACTGACTTTTCTTAGTAAGGGGAACAAAGCAAACCAAGGCTGAGAAGATCAAATGAGTCCAAAACCAATTTGATGTCCTGATTTTATTTCATTTGGGTATATACCCAGTAGTAGGCTTGCTGGATCATATGGTAGTTCTACAACAACATTATCAAGATTTAATGGGTTTAAAGTCATAATTTATGAGGATTCTTTATCCACTAGGTAAATAAATATCTTTTTGATTTAAAGAGAAATATAAGATTTATTTTTTTTTTATTATTGGGACCATAATTGTCTTCCTATGCTAAATAACGAGGAACATTTTTAGTGATTGTCTATGCATTTCACATTTTAGTATCTGGTAATATATTTTATTTCACTGAATGAGCAATGATTATTTAAATTTCCCCAAATATCAAAACATACATTTTCTTGGAACCAGGGTAAAAATGAAAACTGCTTATGTATATTCTGTTTGTCCATTTAGGTCTTTTAGTCCTGCACATTCCCGTTAATATTTTACTGATTTGTTGGAGAGAGCAGACAGTTTGTCCTGAAGCACGTCTCAGTCTCACCTTTTTTATCTGGTTTCTCCCTTATGTTGTTATTGAACATTTTAATCTTATCTCCTGAATATTCTTTAAACAGGGTAATTTTAAAGCTTGTATAGGTTCAAGCTAAATGTGTTTGACTAGAATACATTGCACGTGACGTTACGTATCACAAATTGTAGCATTTCAGGAGTAGGTCTTCCAGATAAAATCCTGGACTTTCTAATATTGTGTAGAACATAACTATACTAAAATTACGTTGTTTAGCTGAAATTCACATTTAGTTGAGTGCTCCATGTTTCTACTTGCTAAATCTGACCACCTTATTCAGAAGACATACAAAACCTTCTCAAATTAACTACTAATTTGATGGCAGACTCATCCCTGTATTTTATAGTTATGCTTTTCCCCCTCGTAGTCATGTGTGAGGTTATTTTGATACCATATGAATTTCCACTTCCCATCAGCCATTTAACTTACTAAGCAAATGATTGTTCATATCTTTGTCTAGTCAATATATCATTAGACTTCATGAAATATTTCTTTTCTAACTCTACCATTGCTTTTATGCTAAAATTCTTCTGAAAAGGAGAACTTTCTTTTGTCAATTGGGGCTATTAAGTCATGTGCTCAAACTGAAGTTCCTAATAGAAAGGCAGGATAAATGCCTCAACAGCAATAACAACTATTTATTACGTGCCTACGAAGCACTGAATAAATCAAAGATCATTGCCCATGTGAATTTTACATCGTAATGGGCACAATTAACAACAATTAGCAGAATAAACCAATAAATTATGTTATAAGGCTATAGATGCTATGGAATAAAGAAAACAATGATGGGATAGTGGGAGCCAGGAATATAGAAAAGTGGGAAGAGACAGGTTGCAGTAAATAGGTTGGTCAGTATAGGTCTCATGACAGAGATGAGATTAGAGCAAAGATTATAAGGAAGTGAAGAGATCAGGCAAGTCAATTTCTGGGGAGGAGCAAGTAGAGGAAGTAACCAGAGCCAATGCCACTGGCAGGGGTGAACCTAGGTGCTTTGTGAACAGCAAAGGGCCCAGTGTGGCTGCAGCAGGTGAACAAGGGAGTGAGATGAGGTCTGAAATGGAGATTGAGGGGAGATACAGTGCAGATGAGCTAGAGATGGATAGATAGAGATAGATGAGAGGAGATGAGATAGAGACAGAGATAGAGATAGAGATAGAAATAGAGGTAGATAGATGGAGATAGAGATAGAGAGAGAGAGATGGAGATGGTAGAGATAGAAGCTGGGTCATTTAAATTCTGTGTAGACTTGTGAAAGGAAAATAAATCTTCAAGCCCCCAAAATCACTAAGCTAAAGGGAAAAGTCAAACTGGGAACTGCTTAAGGCAAACCTGCCTCCCATTCTATTCCAAGTCACCCCTCTGCTCACTGAGATAAATGCATATCTGGTGGCCTCCTTTGGAGAGGCTAATCAGAAACTAAAAACAATGCAACCATTTGTCTCTTATCTGCCTATGACCTGGAAGCCCCCTCCCCACTTCAAGTTGTCCTGCCTTTTCTGAAGGAATCAATGTTCATCTTGAACATGTTGATTGATGTCTCACGTCTCCCTAAAATGTATAAAGCCAAACTGTGCTCTGACCGCCTTGGGCACATGTCTTCACAGTCCTTGAGTCCTTGGGCTGTGTCACAGGCATGCATCTTCAATCTTGGCAAAATAAACTGAGACCTGTCTCAGATGTTCAGGGTTCAGAGACCATTGTAAGGAACTGAGACTTTATTTTGAGTTAAATGGGGAGTCATCAGATGGTTTGTAACACTGATTGCCCTGGATTAGGTAATGGCACTCTGGTTGCTGTGTTGCAAATCGCCTTTAAATAAGCCAGGTGTGGGAGTCTATGGAGAGCGGTTAGACAGCTGCAGAGGGATTGCAGACATGACTGTGGCTGTACATGGATGTGGTGATTTGTAGCTGAATTTGGATTTTGGATGTAGTTTGAAGATAGACTCCACAGGAATTCCAGGAAAATTGGAGGTGCAGTGAAAAGAAAGACAGAATCCACGGATTTACTGAAGATTTAGCCCTTAGTTAAAATATTTAGAGTCTTGGTTTATAGATGCCTTATATAATAATTGAATTTTGTTCTACTCCTTTAGTTTCTTCAATTTTTTCTTTTGTTCTTTCTTTTTTGAGTATTGTTACAGATTTATGGGTTTTCATTGATTCAATTTGTTTCTATGTAAAAATCATTATTTTTAAAAATGTCAAATTTGTACAACTGCAGGCAGAAGGGAGTCTACTCAAACTAGCTCATTTCTGTGCCCTGTTGAGCAACCCATAAGTTTTTAAAAATAGAGGATGGTCGCCTTTTGAATAATCAAAATGCGTGCTCACTTCTTAACTATTTCTTGGATCATTTCACAAATTCCACTGTTAGAGTTTAAAGCTTCAAACTTTTAGTTTGAGTAATACCAAGCAGAAAATTTCCCGGTTAAGTAAGGGGTATTGAGGCTATTATCTTTAGGCACTAATGTGAATAAAGCAATGAAAGATATTTATCTTAATATTGAAGAAGAGAGAAGAACTAAAAGAAAGAGACCATAGTGAGTGGGGTGGGAATATGTGTGTGGATTAAAAGAGAAAGTTTTTTTAAAAAACTTGAATAGGTATCAAGGTACCAGAATCTCAGTCAAAACACAGATGTCTACATTACAACTAAAGACTGTCTAGCAGAAACAACAGGCTGTGAGTTCTGTTTCTTTAAATTTCTCCTTGGCCTCTAGAGTTTCTTCCTCTGTATATTTTTTCATGTGTTTTAAAGGTGTTCTTGCTGGAAAGCACCATTGCCCATACAAGAAAAATTTCCTGATTGCAACTGGAATGGCACACTGTTGACGGAATGGAGTCAGGAAATGGGCCCTGGGAGGAATCCTGAGTGAATTTAGGCTTTCTTTAATAACCTGCTAACATTTCCAGATGTCTTGCTGGCCACTCCAGCGGAGGGCATTTAGAGAAGCAGAACATTTTATCTGGCTCTTGCAATGAAGGATTTTACTGAAATGCGTATGATTCTTAGAGGTTTAGACTAGAAGTGCCCCAAATGTAAATATTATAACTTTAAAAGCCTGCCCCTTCATGTGGATTAAGTCTATTACTGTTTTTGGTTTGTTTTTGTTTTTTGTATCTCTAGAGATTATAGGGATAAGCAAAATTCTTAAAACAAAACTAATACTCCAACCACGCAGGCTTTCAAGATGACTAAAACTGATTGTGTATACTTCCCAATGTGGCTTGAAAATGCCCTGCACATTTTAAGAGAATGTTCCTAGATATTCACAATAATCAGTTTAAGTTATTTAGAGGTTGTCTCTCTTAGTAACAACTACCTAGCACAGTTGCCGCCTTTAGAATAATTTCTAGTATCTCTGGACTTCAGATCTCTGTTCAGTTATTGATTTGGTAATTGCAAAGAGATGAGCATCAGGGTACTGAGAAGGCATAAGTTCAGATGAAAGGGGATACAATTATTGATAAGCCAAAGAAAGAAATTGATAAATTCTGGATACAGTAATAACAACTGTCACTCAATTAGTTCATTCATGAATTTGTTCATTCATTTATTCATTGTTCCAGCAATAATGTCTCTGTTCCTACTATGTACCTGCCACTGTTTCAGGAGCAGAGAGAGAGAGCAGTGACCAAAACAGGAAGGTGAGACACATGTGACTCAAAGCCAATGTGTTCCTTTGTAGAGCATACTAAAATACTAATCTTCTAAAGATGCATATATGAAAAGTCAAGTTCAAGGTATTTTATCATATTATTTACTAGTCCAAACCTTTTTTTATGTATAAACCAACAACAGTCTTTAACCTAAGTTAAAATTTCAGCAGTACCAGGCATCAGTTGATTTCTCCAAACTCATTTTCCTTTCCTTATGTCCATCCTTGCTTATCAAATCAATATACACAGACCATACAGGAGTCTGTTATAGAACACTCAGTACATGTAAATATACAGGATGAATTAGATGATTTAATTATGAATTCAACAAATTTTATTGATTACTCACTATGCAATAGGCTAGACATACAGAGCTTAAAATAACACCACCACTGTGGGAGGCCAAGGCGGGTGGATCACCTGAGATCAAGAGTTCAGGACCAGCCTGGCCAACATGGTGAAACCCCGTCTCTACTAAAAATACAAAAATTAGCAGGGCATGGTGGCACGCGCCTGTAATCCCAGCTACCCGAGGGGCTGAGGCAAGAGAATCACTTGAACCTGGAGGGCAGAGGTTGCAGTGAGCCGAGATCGCACCACTACACTCCAGCCTGGGTGAAAGAGCAAAACTCTGTCTCAAAAACAACAAAAACAACAACAAAGTCCTTGCTCTTATGTTGCTTACAACCTGGAAGGGCAAACAGACAACATGCTAATGAGTAAGTGTATATCTGATGAAAAGTGCTATGAAGGGAAGAAAGGAGGGGATGGGTATTAGAATTGCTTGAGGGAAGGAGACTGTTAATTTATATAGTGTGATCAGCGGCGAGGTGCTCTCTGGTTGCTGACATTTGAGCAGGAATTTGAATACCATAGGAGTATGAGCTATGCTTAGATCTAGGCATAGAATATTCCAGGCTCAAGAAAACAGTAGGTACATAGGCCTTGAGGTAGAAGCTGACTGGCAAACTTGATAAGCAGCAGAGAAATAGCAGAATGACCAAGAAAATGAAGTAATAAGCTGTCTATAATTTTACATATAACATAAATATGGTATGAAGCAGAAGGCAGAATTTTCACAAAGATTTGAAGTAAAGTGAGCACATAAAATATTGGCCACTTTGGGAGGTCCACAGTTTATTATTCCCCAAGACTGATTTTATGACATTTCTGGGAAAAAGAAGCACAAATAACAGGTCAATGTTTTGCCTTTCAAACCACAATTAGAAACTTTGCTAGTAGTTTTCACTGCAAGCTTCTGTTTTTGATGAGTTTTAAGACAGCTTATTGTTTGGGGGTAAAATAACTCAGTACTTTTTATCACTACAAACCAAAATGTCCACTTACACTTTAGATTCTGTATTTATGATATGTATAAATGGCTGGGCATGATGGCTTATACCTATAATCCCAGAACTTTGGGAGGCCAAGGTGGCAAGATCGTTTGAGGCTAGGAGTTAGAGATCAGCTTGGGCAATAGAGCAAGACTCCATCTCTACAAATAAAAATAATAAACAAATTGGCCATGCAGAGTCGCACATGCCTGAAGTCCTAGCTACTTTGGAAGCAGAATCAGGAGGGCCACTTGAGCCCAGAAGTTCAAGGCTACAGTGAACTATGATCATGCCACTATTCTCCAGCCTGTGTGACAGGGTACGACTTCATCTCTTAAAAAAAAGAAAACAACTTTTTTTAAAAAATATATATATAAACACACATACACACACACGCACATATATATATACAAAATATGTATTTGTTTTATATCTCATAGCAATTTATTTTCTTATTGTTTTTTGCTTGGATCATGCCTCCTTCCTGCCTTCAACCTTGGCACGTATTAAATGCTCAAGAACAAGGTAACATATTTTACTGTGTCAGGCAAATATATTTAATACGGATGGAATATAATTTTAGAATTTCAATTTTGTGCTTTGTCAATATGATAAAATTTGTGATAGATTATGTAAATTGTGTAGTAGTTTACAAAATTTTGAACGCAAGCCATTCAACAGACATTTGAGTTGCTTCAACTATTATTTTTTTTAGGCCTTCAAGAGTTAAAATAGCTTTCTCAGTGCCAATTTTAAAGAATAATTCTAAAATTGTGATTCCCCCATGACTTCCTTCCCTTGTATGCCAGTCTTTCTTTTTTCAGTTAATTGAACATAGGTGTTTATACTTGAAATCTGGGAATATTTGTCTCGATTTTCCTCACTCCATGTAGCTTATCAAGTGCCAAGTTCTTACATTCTACTAAAAGTACATTCTTCTTAAAAAATACTCTCAGAAACATTCATTTATGTTAGCTTCACTGAAATGTCATCTGTTTGCTAAGCCATTGCAATAAACCACCAGTACAGTCTAAATAACTGGCATATAACTTCCTGACAGGATTCCCAAAATATGCTGCATTCTCCACTCAGGTTTACTCATTAATTCACTCTGCCCAAAAGTTGTCCTTAAAAAAAATTTTTTTTGATAAGCTACTTAGCCTGCTTGAACTAATTTATAAAATTCTTTCACATTTAGGAAAAAGTTCAGAAAACTTATTGTATCCTAAAATCCCCTGCATGTGCTAATTTCTCCCAGTCTTCCATTGGCCTCTTAAATCCCTCTCAGCTTGTTTTTCTCCTCTGCAGTCAGCCTTCTTCGGGCCTTTCAGTGGAACAACTCAAAGACGAGTCTTTTTTCTTTGCCTACTCCCTCCCATCCCTTCATCTCAAGTTTGTTTTGTTTTGTTTTGTTTTGTTTTTTGTTTTTTGAGACGGAGTCTGGCTCTGTTGCCCAGGCTGGAGTGCAGTGGCGCGATCTCGGCTCACTGCAAGCTCCGTCTCCCAGGTTCACGCCATTCTCCTGCCTCAGCCTCCCGAGTAGCTGGGACTACAGGCGCCCACTACCACGCCCGGCTAATTTTGTTTGTATTTTTAGTAGAGACGGGGTTTCACCGTGTTAGCCAGGATGGTCTGGATTTCCTGACCTCATTATCCACTGGCCTCGGCCTCCCAAAGTGCTGGGATTACAGGCGTGAGCCACCGCGCCCGGCTCCTTCATCTCAAGTTTTAATTTGAATTCCTCTTCTTCAGGAAAATTCTTCCTAACTCCTTTTTCTTCTCTTCCCAGACCAGATTCATATTCTCCTCCATGACATTGTGTGGTTTCTTGCAGCACTCACCTTCTTTTCAGTGACTTCCCCACTCTGTCTTCCTTGACTATTGTTGGAGAAAAAGTGAGCCATGACACTTTTTTTTTTTTTTTTGAGACAGTCTCACTCTGTCACCGAGGCTGGAGGGCAGTGGCAAGATCTCACTGCAACCTCGGCCTCCCGGGTTCAAGCGATTCTCCCACCTCAGCCTCCCCAGTAGCTGGGATTACAGGCATGTGCCACTACGCTCTGCTAATTTTTTGTATTTTGGTAGAGATGGGTTTTCACCATGTTGATTATGCTGGTCTCGAACTCCTGACCTCAGGTGATCCGCCCACCTTGGCAGACTTTATTCAGGACCATCATGATAGATGTAAAGACCACTGCAAAGGGGATCGAAAATTACTAAAAGGAAACATCAGAGCTTTGGAGAGATTCTGGCTAATCCAACATAACAGAATCTTTTCTGAAGGGAGGCCAGGGCAGGCAGACATCACCCAGGGGATGGTGGAAGATAAGGACCTGATCAAATGTTGAGGGTGATCAGATATTGAGGGCAGGGAATTCTAGTAACTCTGACTTAGCAGGATCCTTGCTAAAACTGGACAATGAAGAGACAAACACAGAAGCCCAAACATCAGCGTGTATTGAGAAAAGTTCAAAAGAGGCTGATTGGAATTTGGCCAAGAAGGGAACCTACCTATGGTCTTTGGGAGCAGAATAAATTTCTTATATTGGTTTATGTTGCATCACAATGACATGCTAATTGCCAAGCACACAGTAGTCTCTCAATGAAATTTCATCAATGAATGAGAAAATGATTAATAATTCAGACTGTGGAGGATGTCAATACAAAGCACATATATTCAAATATGTAAATATTTTAATGATGTTATTCATTCGTTAAATTAATACAAGTATATTAAATGCCCAGTATATGCTAGAGGCACTAGAGATAAAAATGTGAGAACAATATGAGACCAGGTTTGGCTTCTTGGATCTGTGGCCCAAACATGAGCATTAGGGCTGACTGTTTCCACTCCTTCCATCTGCTCTTCTCTGTGTTGGCTTCCTTCCCAGGCAGCCCTTCTGCTCCCGTTGACCCTCTGGCTGCTCAAGTGTAACTGTCATGGTTCTGAGTCCTAGACACTCTCCTATCATTTCTGGAAATCATTCTAATTGGACCAAATTGGGTCATGTTCCCACCCCTGCAACAATCTTTGCAGAGACTGCAGGGATGCAAGCATGATGACTGCTCAGTTCAGGAACACGTGCTCTTCCCTGGAGTAGAGTGCAGCCCCACTTAAACCACATAGAGTGAAGATAAGTAGAAAAGAGATTTCTGCCAGGATTCTGGAACAATTTTGTACAAAGGAGTGGGAATGAATAAATGGAAAAAGCAGCAAATTGTCTGCTAAAATTTAACCAAGCAAAGAGTGGCAGGGGAAGTTTCATGCAGAGGAAATAACATATGCCAATGCTATTGTAACCTGAGCAACATACAAAGTACAAAAGAATAAATGAAGGCGTGAAGGCTAGTAAAAATAAGAAATTGACGCAGGTACACAGTGCATTACAGATACAAGGTAACATGGATAGTTAACTGGGGGTCAACTTGTGGGGAGATTTGTTGTTCATGTGAGGGAGTTTGAGGAAGTAATTATATTTTCAGGAGTTTGGTTGACATGTACATCATATGTCGGTGATTTTTTAAATTAATATATTTCATAAATCAGATTATGTGATTATATTTTTAAAATGTGTTAACTTTTAGAAATAAGTTTCATCTTTAGAAAACAACAGACTAAAAAGTATTATTTCTATTAATAGTAGTTTGAAATTACCATGCAATCAATTTTAAATATGGTTATCAATGCAATGTCCTTGCTATATAATTGGGGATAATGGAATGTGATTACATGTTTATAATGTTGAAACTATTCATTTCCTTCCAGATTTCTAAGAAAAATATGTTATAACTGTATTCTTAGATTAAGACAAATAATATATGTTTTGCCAGATTGTTGATCCTGTAGAAAAAAATTATACTGATACATCATGCCATTTCTAGAAACTGGTTTTGATACTGATGGACCATATTAAGCATAAGCCATTCAGAAGTAAGTGAGCAATAACTTACATAAGATGAGCTGAAAAAAGTGCTGAGAATTAAAGAAAAAAATTCATAATATAATGAAGGTGCTTGATTCGTTTTCATGAGGAAATTCACAATATAAAAGCAATTAAGTGCTTCAACTGATTTATTTAAGACATCGCAAGTGGAAGCTTGCAACTTTATTTATTTAATCATTCAAATGAAGATCCTATGCAGTACTTGCAATGTTCGCTTTAATGCAAGGGTTTTTTTTTTAGAGTAATAATTTGAGTCTTAATGTAGATAATAAATAATATAATTTTCTGATTAAAATAATATTAACTTGTTCGGTTAAATTGTTTATCCTCCTAGACAATATCCTTTAATAATATAGTTTATAATCTGTGTGAAAATTTACAAGTGACCCAATGGGTAGTTGGAACTTGTGAACAACAGATGTCTCACAGCATTCACCAACATCATTAGCAGAAATTACATGAATTAGAAAAATTCCACCTTGTTGCTTACATTTTGTTGTAAAGACTTTTATCTAATAATTCAAAATTAGGATGCTGATTTATCATATTAACTGTATAATCATACTTCACATAAATTATTTAATAAATATCTGTGACATAGTATGAGTTTTGATGGTACACAGATAATTATGCTGACTGTATGTGGTTTCAGATTCACAGATGTCTGTAAGAGGTTCATAGTTAAAAGTCCTTCCTCATCAATTCTGTGACGTGTATAATTGTAGGATTTATTTGGCTTACACCCTGAGGTATTCATTAATGCTTTTCATCTAATATTTCTGGTCGCCTCTTTTCTGGGCAAACGTTGTATTGCTCTTTTCTGTTGGACTTTGGTGGGGCCATGAGACTAACTAATTCGGGCCAATCTGTTGTGAGCCAACCAGTGTTTAATCACCCAGTGGTGAGAGCCCCTGCAGAGTCCCCTTGTTTTCCTGGCAACTGGTAGTGTTCAAGATTGCACTGCTCTTACAGCTTGAGCACCTGAGTAACAAGAAGCAAAGTTTCCCTCCACCCCAATCCTGTTAACTTATGATGGAGACATTGTGTGAAATTATAATTGGAAGAAGAGCTTGTTCATGAATACAAACCTAAGACATGCCATTGGCTTAGGGGCCAAATGGCAAGCAGTGTGGGAAAGTTCTCAGAGGCTGGGGAGAGAGCAATTCACACTAGTTTGAAAGTAGAGTAAAACATAATAGGCAAGTCCATGTAATTGAGGGATTTTAATGGCTTTAAAAGGAAACAGTTTCTCAACTCTAACTAGCAAACCGAAGACTTAAAATCGCAAAACAGAAGATTTAAAACTAGCAAAACTGAAGATTTAAAATAAATGTTGTGGGCAACAAAGGCCAATTAAAGCTTAGTCTTGTTGCAAGGAGGGCATACACTCTCTAAGCATGTGTGGCTGAGGACAGTGATGATAAAGAAGTCATAACACCAAAAAGAACAACAGAATTTGGAAAGATTCAAGTATAGAGGCACTGCACCAGATGGGGTCATGTATGTTTGTAAAAATCTGAATTTCTTAAATTTAGAAAAGCAATATAATGCATATAATTTACATTGCATAAAACCATAGTGAGAAAGACTGGCACATGACCCTGCCATCAAACACATGCATAATTGTGCACTGAGATCCATACATATTCTCACTAGATCAGGCTTTGCTGCTAAAGAAATTTAGTTTTCAAACTTCTGAGGGTTTCAGGATTATAGATAAGAGATGATGTAGTGTTCTCCCAAGCAAAGGTGTGGCTGAGGCACAGAAGTAGGAACAGCTTGTGGTAAAGATATAAAGTCCCATTTCAGGAATCACAGGCAGATCCAAGAACAAACCAAAGACTCAATTTCTTCTCACGTAGTACATGCGTGAGCCCAGGACCCGCGAGAGGGTGGCCTGAGGCAAAGATCATAATTCCATGGTTCTCTGAGGAGGCTTGGCTCCCATGTGAGAAAAAAGTACAGCACCTTTCCGTGACCTAAATTATCCTCTTAAGAAGTCCCATTGTGTCTTTTCAGCTCTGGAAATACTCTGGGCTGAATTGTTAACAGTATCTGAGGGCAAGAGTGAGATGATGAAGAATGAGGAAAGGTGGGAGTAGAGATTTCCTCTGGAGCCGTAAATGAGATGAATATTGACACCGGCAAGATTGGAACATCACTGCCCCCAGGAGCAGAACTTCTAACACACAAGGAAATGCTCCCTCTCAATGGAATATCAAGAATTTAAACTGAACCATCAGGGTGCATTGAGCCAGGAGTAGGTAAAGTACCAATTTACCTGAGAAAAATTCATTAACTGAAAAAAGAAAAAGCAAGTGCAATACAGATATAGGAAGATTCAAGTTCAGTAGAAATTCTTGGGCAGACAGATGACAGAGCAGACAAGTGACAACTTAGAAAATCAACCAACAAGCCCACTAAATCAAAAACAAAATGAAAAGAATTTATTTAGAACAGAAGTGTACACTCTGCAACTAAATCAGTTTCTCATGTCATAATCAATAAATATGCTGAAAACATGATCACTGAATAATAAATATTGAAATGCCATACTGTTAATGACAAATATGTCAAATCATCAAAAATAAAAGAAATAGAAAATGGAATTAACGAAGGGTAAATGGAGTTTTGTGAAGTAAAAAGAGAACAGATGGTATAGTGGCAATAATCAAATAGCCCATGAACTTCTCAAACTAGTAAATAAAAGTGGAACACACCTAGACATATCTTGAAAATGCCTTGGTATTATTTTTGGTGAAGATGAGGCCAGCAGTTATCAAACATTTTGGTGTTGGTAAACTCATGGTTTAGGTTTCAAGAACTCTTTAGACTCTAATGATCCAAAAGAGCTTTTATTTGTGTGCTTTATATCTATATTTACTGTATCAGAAATTAAAATGGAGAATTTAAAACATAAGTGTATTTATTAAAATAATATATTTGGTACACATTGACATAAAAATTATATTTTAACAAAAAAATGAAATCTATATTTCCGCTGTCATGCTAGTGAGAAAAGTGATATAATTTTATAATTTTGCAAAACTCGTTAATGGCTGGCTTATCAGAAGACGATGCTGGATTTCATGTGTGCACCTGCATTTAATCTGTTATGAACCATTGTTTTGGGTGAAGCATTTAAAATAATCTGACTTCAGGCTGGGCGCAGTGGCTCACGCCTGTAATCCCAGCACTTTGGGAGGCCGAGGAGCGCGGATCACGAGGTCAGGAGGTCGAGACCACGGTGAAACCCCGTCTCTACTAAAAATACAAAAAATTAGCCGGGCGCAGTGGCGGGCGCCTGTAGTCCCAGCTACTCGGGAGGCTGAGGCAGGAGAATGATGTTAACCCGGGAGGCGGAGCTTGCAGTGAGCCGAGATTGCGCCACTGCACTCTAGCCTGGGCGACAGAGCAAGACTCTGTCTCAAAAAAATAAAAATAAAAATAAAAAATAATAAAATAATCTGACTTCATATAGATAAATAGTTTTAAAAGGAAGGTGTTTTTTAAATTTCATTCAAATAACTGTTGATTTTCTTTTTTTTTTTTTTTTTGCCACTGTTCCGAAATTAGATGAGTGATGGTTTCTTATAGGTTAGTTGCTATGTAGAGTCTAAATTTTATCAATAAACTTTTTGTACTTTTACATTGAAATCCATTGGTCTATCTTGCATTTTGAATAGATCATTTATTCATGTATGGATATGTAATACGATTCATTGATCATTTGGAAAATAGTGCTTAACTGTGGATCTTCCAAATAATTATACATTTCGTTATACAATATCAAAATGCAGATACACACGCATGCAGATACACACGCATGCACACACACACACATACACATACAACTTTCATTCATTTCTGAAGAATCTTTGGGTATTGGGATGCTGTCAGCTCTCACTGAGGACATAAGGTTTCCAAAATTTGGATTTTCCCTGAAAGTTCAGATTATATCATCCTCAGCAAGTACTGTCAGTAGTTTCCTTTTGGCCAAATATTCAAGTTTGAATAACCATCATTTGTCTTTCAGTCATTCTTTTAAGTAAAATTGTGCTTCATGAAAAAAGCAGCTAGTTCAGCTTACAGCTGAATCATACAAAGGGATTTCCTGGAGACAACAATTACATCATGTATGTACAAAGTAAATAAGTCTTATGCATAGTTCTGATGTCTCCACACTTAATATAAAGACAGACATACACACAAGCGTCAAAGGTTTATAACATTCATAATTATTACTGTTTCCTCAAGGACATTCTTAAATGAAACTGTCCCTTTTGTGTGTGTGAAACGTACAAGACAGTGAACAATAATTACTGTACAGTTTGGTGCCAGTACTGAAACTGTGGTAACATACTGAGAGTGGCTTCAGGACCCTCAGGTGTCCACAAACCACAATTTGAGAACCACCAGGAAGAAGCTATACTATTCCCTTCCCTACCCCAAAGCAAAGCAGAGAAGCAAAGTAACACATTTATTCCTCTCTCACATATCAGTATGACTGGTGTAATTTGTCATAGGAATTCTGCTTCATGAGATAAATTAGGAAGCTGGGTTTTGCTATATTGTGGTTAATATCATCCTCAGTGATGCTGTCCCCATCAGGCTGCTTGCCACTCTGCTCTGGCTTGTGGTGAAAGGAAAAAAAAAAAAAAATCACAGTTGACCATTGTTTTTGAAAGCATGTAAAATAGAGATTGTTCATCTCAACTTTTCATTCACATTCCATTGGCAGAAACTTGGTGCATTTCTTCTAGACTCATTACTAGAAGAGCTAGGAAATTAGACTCTAGCTCAGCAGGTATGTACCCAGGAAAAAAGAAAGGATGAATTTTGAGTGTGTTTGTGTTTGTGTGTGTGTCTTGGTGGAGGGGGAAAATAGACTGGCACTCCCCCATCATTTTTGAATTTCAAGGATTTTTAAAATTAGAAGCTTCCAAATTTTCTTCTATTTCAAAGAAATATATTAAAATTGGTAGTTTAAAAAGAACTATAGAATTTTATAGGCAGATAAACTATCATTTATCTGTTAGGTTGAAAGTAAAACCAGGAATATCCAGTTTTAATTTCCTCATCTAAGGAAAATCTTCATAAAATGCCCTAACCAACAATAAATGACTCAAAATAGGCACTTGAATGGGGAGATAAAATGAAAGAAGAAAAATGAAGTGACAAATGTAATGATAGTATGCTTGAAATTTTGTACTATCAGGCGTAGCAAAACTTGTTGATAGGAGTATTTACATAGTGAGGACAAGAAAATAAATGATTATAAGTAGTACATAATCATTTTAGAAACAAGATATGACAGGCAAACTAGAGCAAAGAGAAATAAAAATGTTCTTTTCAGGTTAAAAGCTCTTAAGTTAGGTAAAATATTATGTTGTGTAATGATATAAGACAATTTGCTTGAAAGACATGTTCCTCATAAAGCCTGATCTATTAGAGATGCAGGGAGAGCTTAATAAAATAGAGTTATACTCAGGGAATGTAATATATCTTTTTGAAAATTAGAAAGGCCTACAAGAATTAAATAAATGAGAACATATAGGAACAGAATACTGTAATAAACTACAGTCTGACATAAATATCTGATTTGCATTCTATGAATATTGAATACATATAATTTATTGGTATCTGAGGAATACTTACAAAACTGATCATGTACTTGGCTATAAGTAAAGCCTTAAAGATTTTTAAAGTACATATTTCAAAGGCTATAACCATTGCCATAAATTCAAAAAACTTAGAAATAAATTATAAAAATTCAAACTACTTCAAAATAAGAAACACTTTCATAATAATGTTTAGCTTCTGAATAAAAAAGGAAATACTTCTGAAGTTACAATCTTTAGGAAAGTCAATGAAAAGGAGTATACCTTAATAATGAACTAATGAACCACTTACTTGAAAATGTTTAAATACCTTTATATTCAACATTGGCAGGGCGTGGTGGCTCATGCCTGTATTCCCAGCACTTTCAGAGGCCAAGGCGGACAGATCACCTGAGGTCAGGAGTTTGAGATCAGCCTGACCAACATGGTGAATCCCCGTCTCCACTAAAAATACAAAAACTAGCTGGGCATGGTGGCAGGTGCCTGTAATCCCAGCTACTCGAGAGGCTGAGGCAGGAGAATCCCTTGAACCTGGGAGGCAGAGGTTGCAGTGAGCCGAGATTGTGCCACCACACTCCAGCCTAAGCGACAGAAGGAGACTCCGTCAAAAAGAAACAAACAAACAAAACAACAACAACAAAAAACCTTTATAGTCAAAATTGACTGAAAATAATAATTGGGGAAAGTCTTCATTATCTTGTTTTAACCAGCTTTGCTGCCCTAAAAAATAAGCGTAACATGATTGTGACTTACAATAGCCAAGATTTACTTTCTTGCTTATGTCATACGAGGGCTGCATTGGCTGTGGCTCTTCTCCAGGCAAACGGGGCTGAGGTCTAAGACTCAAATTGAGACTCAGTCACTATCTGGAGAAGCCAAGCAAAAAGCAATAGCCGCACAACTTCGTTAACAGCATTTTCTTACACATTTCTACTCAGATGTCATTGAGCAACCAAATCACATAGCCAGGTCTGACAATGTGGGCAGTGGCCATGTTACTTATCAAGAGGCACTGAAAATCACAGGACAAGGGCAGGGATGCATCTTATTACATGTATAAGAATAGAAACGGGAAAAATGATTCTGAAAAAAATAAAATAATGTGCCATTACATTAAGTTTCCACTCTTACATTAAAAAGCTCATTGTAAACCAAAATTAACTGAAGGAAAGTTCATTGAAAATAAAAGCTGAAATTAATATAAAATATATTACATTAGGAACAATAAATAGTACTATAGCCACAGGTAGAGAAATGACAGATCAAATTTATGAATCTAATTTGCTGCATGTGAAATTCTGGAAACAAAGTTAAGACCTAGTAAAACCTTACACTTGCCCAGCAGAAAATTAACAAGTTGTTAAAGAAAGAGTATAACGTGTTAATACACTCATAACATACTCATAGGTAAGTTAATGTTAACTTATAAATAATGATTTCACAGCTGAATTTTATCTAATCTTGGAAAAATAAATGTTTCTTAACTATCCACAGGGACATTCATTTTACATGGATTGAAAAACTTTATACTACATATAGCTCATATCCCTAAAACTGGGAAATCATAAATCATTTTACTTATAGATATGTATCAAAATTTGAAATAAATTGTTACCAAATGATGTCAGTAGACTGTCAGAATAATTACAATCTGAGTTTTTTGATGGAAGGTTAGAGTCATGTATAAAAATTAAAATGTTATATCATCAAATTAATGGGTAAAAAAAATTGTGATTCATTAATAGATGCTTAAAGGGAGCTTACCAAAGTCCAGGAGTCATTCTTAATAGAAATCTTAATTAAATAGAAGAAATATATCGCATATTATAAATCTAAACATTTAAATTAAGCTCTTAATGCAACAATAATGCTTCATTAAAACCTGTTCCAAACATCAGTGGCTTTCACCAACCATATTTATTTTGCTGTTGTGATGGTTAATTTTATGTATTAACATGCTAGACCATGGTTAATTTGGTCAACATGAGTTTAGGTTTGCTGTGAAGTTATTTGTTGATGTGATTAACATTTACAACCATCAGCTGACTTTGAGTAAAGCAGATTGTCCTCTATAATGTAGGTGGGCCTTATCCAATTATTGGAAGACTTTTGTCTTTTTTTTTTTTTATTATACTGTAAGTTCTAGGGTACATGTGCACAACTTGCAGGTTTGTTACATATTTATACCTGTGCCATGTTGGTGTGCTGCACCAATTAACTCATCATTTACATTAGGTATATCTCCTAATGCTATCCCTCTCCCCTCCCCCCACCCCACGACAGACTCCGGTGTGTGATGTTCCCCCATCCTGTGTCCAAGTGTTCTCATTGTTCAATTCCCACCTATGAGTGAGAACATGCAGTGTTTGGTTTTTTGTCCTTGCGATAGTTTGCTCAGAATGATGGTTTCCAGCTTCATCCATGTCCCTACAAAGGACATGAACTCATCTTTTTTTATGGCTGCATAGTATTCCATGGTATATATGTGCCACGTTTTCTTAATCCAATCTATCATTGATGGACATTTAGGTTGGTTCCAAGTCTTTGCTATTGTGAATAGTGCCACAATAAACATACGAGTGCATGTGTCTTTATAGCAGCATGATTTATAATCCTTTGGGTATATACCCAGTAATGAGATGGCTGGGCCAAATGGTATTTCTAGTTCTAGATCCTTGAGGAATCGCCACACTGTCTTCCACAATGGTTGAACTAGTTTACAGTCCCACCAACAGTGTAAAAGTGTTCCTGTTTCTCCACATCCTCTCCAGCACCTGTTGTTTCCTAACTTGCTAGTGATCACCATTCTAACTGGAGTGAGATGGTATCTCGTTGTGGTTTCGATTTGCATTTCTCTGATGGCCAGGGATGATGAGCATTTTTTCATGAGTCTGTTGGCTGCATAAATGTCTTCTTTTGAGAAGTGTCTGTTCATATACTTCGCCCACCTTTTGATGGGGTTGTTTGATTTTTTCTTGTAAATTTGTTTAAGTTCTTTGTAGATTCTGGATATTAGCCATTTGTCAGATGGGTAGATTTTAAAAATTTTCTCCCATTCTGTAGGTTGCCTGTTCACTCTGATGGTAGTTTCTTTTGCTGTGCAGAAGCTCTTTAATTAGATCCCATTTGTCAATTTTGGCTTTTGTTGCCATTGCTTTTGGTGTTTTAGACATGAAGTCCTTGCCCATGCCTATGTCCTGAATGGTAATGCCTAGGTTTTCTTCTAGTGTTTTTATGGTTTTAGGTCTAACATTTAAGTCTTTAATCCATCTTGAATTAATTTTTATATAAGGTATAAGGAAGGGATCCAGTTTCAGCTTTCTACATGTGGCTAGCCAGTTTTCCCAGCACCATTTATTAAATAGGGAATCATTTCCCCATTTCTTGTTTTTGTCAGTTTTTTCAAAGATCAGATGGTTGTAGATGTGTGGTATTATTTCTGAGGGCTCTGTTGTGTTCCAATTGTCTATATCTCTGTTTTGGTACCAGTACCATGCTGCTTTGGTTACTGTGCACTTGTAGGAGCAAAGACTGAGGTTTCCCAAAGAAGGAATATGCCTTACAGCTACAATAGAAGTCCCATCTGATTTTCCAGCCTGCTGGCCTGTGCTACACATTTCGGACTTGCCAGCCTTCACAATCTCATATGCCAATTCATACGTCAATTCCTTAAAATAAATTTATCTTTATACCTAGATACCTCTCTCTGTCTTTCTGATGTCTATGTCTCTATATGCCTATCTATCTAGTTCTAATATCTATTATATCTATTTCTAATGCTATACAATAAACTATGAGAAAAAATATATAGAGAGATATGTAGATAGATTGATACATACATACATACACAGAGATAGGTAGATGATAGAGATGATAGGTAGATAGATACATAGATACGTAAATACAGAGAGGTAGATGATAGATAGATAAATAGATAGATAGATAGAGAGATAGATGATAGAGATAGACAGAGATAGATAGAGACAGATAGATACATAGATAGACAGACAGATATCCCATTGGTTCTGTTTCTCTCAAGAATCCTGACTTGTATACCCACTCACAGATATGAGGCCTAATTGCAGTTTAGTGCGTCTTGTCTGGTGGTCAGCCTGGTGGCTCTGCTTTAGACTATGGATTGGATTCAGGTCTACAACACGTGCACTCAGCCCAGTTAAAGGGGCAGTGTATTCTTGCCCACACATGCAAGAGGGCAAGGCAGACTGCCACGCAATCCAATTGAAAGACTCTGCTTGAATTGTATCTAATCACATCTCATTGCCAAGACAAAGTCAAAGGATCAGGAAAGTACATGCCATCCCATGGAAAAGAAAGGAAATATTTGTTGAGAAAAACCCTATATAGCACAATACTAAAATTCAAATACTAATTTTTGTGTAAATCAGGGAAAACCTATAATTTGTTAGGTTATAATTTTTTATGATTTCTTTGGAAATTTTTTTTGACTGAAATAAGATGGTAAAATAAAATAGGTGGTTTTTCACATTGCATGGCATATCAAAACATCTCCTGAGCTCCACAAATATGTACACCTACTATGTACCCAGAAAAATTAAAAATTAAAAAAATTAAAAATAAGTGGTTTAAAAAACGCTCAAATATAAAAGATACAATCATTTATTGTTGATGATAAGTTAATTTGCTTTTCGGAATATCCATTTTCTGTTAAACTACTCTAAAAGATTATAATTTTTATTTGTATTTTGTAGGATGAATGAAAAATACAGTCAAATATACATACACTACAATTTTTTGTATTGAAGATGACCATGCCATATGAAATGGAAAAAGAATCACACCCTAAAATTACAAATAATTTCCAAAATATTTAGAGTTAAATTTAGTAATAAAGGTACTGGACTTGATTTAATTTTAATTTTTAATTTGTATGGGCACACAATAGGTGTATATATTTATGGGATACATGAGATATTTTGATACAGTCATACGGTGTGTAATTATCACATCAGAGTCAATGATGTATTCATCACCTCAAGCATTTATCATTTCTTGTTGTTATAAACATTCCAATTATACTTTTTTAGTTATTTTAAAATGTACAGTAAATTATTGATGACTGCCATCACCTTGTTGTGTTATCAAATACTAGATCTTATTATTTTAACTGTATTTTTGTACTGACTGACCATCCCCACTCCCCCTACCCACTATTCTGCCCAGTTTCTGCTATCATTCTATTCTGTATCTCCATGAGTTCAATATATATATATATATATATATATATATATATATATATATATATTTTTTTTTTTTTTTTTTTTTTTTTTTTTGGCTTCCAAGAATGAGTGAGAACATGCCAAGTTTGACTTTCAGTGCCAGGCCTATTTCACTTAGCATAAAGTCCTCTAGTTTTATCCATGTAAGGTACTGAACTTTTAAAAAGGTATTGAATCTGATGGAAAGTCTTCACTGAAGACCTGAGCAAGTGAAAATCCATACCATATTTTTTGAAGGAAATGTTTAATGTATGTAAAATAGTAAATAATTGGTGTGTTAGGCCATTCTTGCATTGCTATAAATAAATACCTGAGACTGGGTAATTTATAAGAAAAGAGGTTTAATTGGCTCATGGTTCTGCAGGCTGTACAGGAAGCATGGTGCCAGCATCTGCTCCACTTCTAAGGAGGTCATGGTAGAAGGCAATGCAAAAGCGGGAACACTGCATGATAAAAGCAAGAGCGAGAGAGAGAGAGTAGGGAAGAGGTGCCGCACACTTTTAAATGATCAGATATTGCAAGAACTCACTCACTATTGCAAAGAAAGCACCAAACCATGAGGAATTTGCCCCCATGATCCAGTCACCTCTCACCAGGCCCCACCTCTAGCATTGGGAATCACAATTCAACATGAGACTTGGGCAGGGACAAATATCCAAACTATATAAATCGGTAAACACATTAACATCAGTAAATCCATTTGCTCCTATTCTACTTAGCATATCACATTGTAAATTAATTAATAATTTAACATTTCATATGGATGACATATTGAAAGATTGTCAAAATAATACACAACAAAATATGATGAAAAATATTTGCCTTAGCAAATAGTAAATATAGAACAATGAGTTCTATGATACTAACATTAACCAAAAGATCATTGGTACAGAATAGACAGTAGAGATTAATGTGAACTATTGCTGGTGGTGTCAATCATATTATATTTATTAACTTTTTATTGCCCCTCTCTATTGCTTTGCAGCTTTAGAGACAGGGTGGAAAGTGGGATATGAGTAGTGTGGACTAATTCCTATTGGATCTATTGTCAAGGAACAAGAAAAATAAGCACAAAAAAGAATTGGCCAGTTTGCAAGCATGAAAAAGAACAGAATTTACAAACGCAATGTATTTTTAAATGATAAAAGCCACATAGGGATATGTGCCTACAATATGATTATTATTAGAATTTTTATAAATCAGAAAATGTCAAAGTCCATGTATTCATAAAATTATTTGTATCTGATATGTATTAATAATGAGAAAAGATGTGCGACATGGAAGGATCTGGGTTGTTGTATTGGTTACTTTGATAGAGGAAGATAGGGAAGAGTTAAGTAACACCGGAAACAACAACGTCCATAAAGTTCGAAATAAATGAGATCATGGCATCACCTCCCGAACCCGCTATCTGCAGGAGTGAAGGCAGGCTAAAGGTGAGGTCCACCTAAAGGCAGAGAGGAACATGCACTCTGAAGTGTGGAGTGTGTTCCAGTCTTCCTGTGCAGAGGTCAGGTCAAACAAAACTTCCAGGGGAAATCTGGTCTCATCACTACACCCTTACCAAACACACGATGACAATGATGTAAAATTTCTCTGCTCAGATTGCCCTTATCTAAGACTTTCTCCTCAGCCCTCTCAGCTGCTGCATCAAACAAATGTCATTCCATTCAAATCAGTTCCATTCATTTTCACAATGTGCACTGAGGGCTCACAAAACCCCAGTCCATGTGCTGGGCACGGGGATAGAATGTTGCACAAAACACAGTTCTTGTCCTCCCAGCATAATTCCTAGTATAGAATGTGAGCAATCAAACAATTCCAATAGCCCATCAGGAAGGTTCCAGGGGTGCAAACACAATGTTACAAAAGCATTTATTAGGGGCAGACGTCTCATTTGAGTGAGTCAGTTAGGTTTTTCTGGAAAGATTGGGTCCAATTTGAAATCTAAATGATAAATAGATGTCCTCTGTAGTTAATGCACTTGACTCCACAAACATGGTTCATACACAAATACCACACTTGACCTGTTTTTCTTTTATTCTAGAAAGAGAAACATATTGATTTCAGATCATAAAACATAATACAGATAACAAAGTAGATTAAAGTGAAGCCAGGATTTTTACTGCAGAGAAAGATCATTTAAAGGATGACAAATAGAACTTTCAAAGCCTTTCCTTTTTTCCTTACTATCAAAATCAAGTAAATGTGTATTGCAAAAACAAGAAAAAAAATTGGAAGTATGAATTCATTTACTGAGTGAAAGATATACACACGGGAAGAATTTGTAATATAAAATAGAAATTTAAAAGTACCATTAATGATGAAAATTATAATAGTTACCATTAAAATACTTTTAGATCTATTAATTATTTAACCATCCCCCAAAACCTATGAGATATATTATATACGTTAATAAAAGCTAAATGTAATAGTAGATTTAAATCTGGGTCAAGAGTAGTAAGAATACAAGTTAATATTGAAGAAATGTAAGTTAGTGGCAGGCATTGAGTTCAAACTCAAAGGTTTCCTACTCTGTGCAGAACTATAGAAAAAAAGAGAAAAATAATAAAATAAGTTCAGTCATCTGTCCCTTAGAGATACATTTTGAGAAATGTGTTGTTAGGCAATTTTGTTGTTGTGCAAACATCAGAATGTACTTGCACAAGCCTGACACCAGGGTTTTGGCTCTCCCTCCACGGCTCCAAAACTCGTGTGTTCCATCCCAGCAGCTATAACACCATCTTTTCTACAGTCATCCCTATTCACACTGAGATCCTAACCTAGATCTAACCTACTACACACTTAGGGTCCTAGGCTACAAATATGGACAACGTGTTACTGTACTGAACACTGTAGGCAGTTGTAACAAAATGGTTAGTATTTGTTTATCTAAACATAGAAAGAGTACAGTACAAATAAGACATAAGAGATTTTTTAAAATGCACCTGAACAGGGCATTTTGTACAAATGGAGCTTGCAAGAAGTTGTCTCGGTGAATCAGCAACTGAGTGATGAGTGAAAGTGAAGGTCTAGATTACACTACCATAGACTTTATAAACACTGTACTTGGGCGATACTAAATTTTTTTTAAATATTTTTTTCTTCCATAATAAGTTAGCCCTAGCTTATTGTAACTTTTAAATTTGAAAGTTTTTATTTTTAAACACTTTTTCTCTCTTTTTTGCAGTGACACAGCTTAAAACACCAACACATTGAAGAGATGCATAGTATTTTTTGTACTCTTATTCTATACGCTTCTTTCTATTTGATTTCCTTTTACTTATTAAACTTTTCTGTTAAAAACTAAGACATGAATATGCACATTAGCCTAGACCAGGATGATCAATATCACCATCTTTCACCAGCACATCTTGTCCCACTAGAGGTCTTCAGGGGCAATAACACAGATGGACCAAACTGTCATTACATGGTGCATCATGGTAACTCTAAGTGTACAAAGTGGATCAAGAGATTCCGCAAGAAAGGGGCAGACAAATTGGGACTGGAACAAAACTCAAATTTTATAACAGAAAACTTAGATGCCTGAATTTGGAGAGGAAAATATTTGTTAATGTAGGAGAAAATATCCTAAAGCGATGTAATAAATACTGTGATTTTGAAAATTCAAGGAAAAAAAGAGAATCCTACAAGCATGTAAGTAAAAACAGCACACACACACACACACACACACACACACACACACGTACATTTACATATTAGCAACATGGGAATAGTAATGATAATGCCTCAACCTCTCAGGTCAGAGCAGCATGCGAAGCCTGGGACCAGTTTGTTTCATACTGAATTTAATTAAGTCTACTATCAACAGGATTACAAGCAGCAGCACTCGCCTCAGTTATACATACCTCTTCTCCTGCCCACACATTCCCACTCAACTATTATAAGTCCCAGGGGTAACAGTAGGTCCTACTCCAGATAATCAAGATATAGATTGAGGCCAGTCTACTCATTGTGACCCAAGGAGGGAGTTTAGAGTAATCTCCGGATCTTGATATATTTGCCAACAATATCAATAATTACAAGGGACAAAAGACGAGCCAACAAGCAGCTCCCATCCCCAGTGAACACTGCCCTTGCCCCCCTCGCTCTATATACAAACATATAACCCAAAAAGGCATGGCTCACTCCAGTTTGAGACTTGCTGTTAAACTTGATTTGAACCCCTGTTGCATTGGTTTGGTCAAGTCACATGGGCAGTGTCACCAATTAGCCTTGAATGCCATACCTGGCACAATTCAAGGCCAAGTGAGCCTTAGAAGAAGCAGATGTCTTTGCATCAGTGAGACGGATGCAAACAAAGTTGGGTCAGTCCAAGTGTTTGAAAACATATGAGGGAGTCCACACCCAGGAGCTGCCTCTGAGAAGGCATCAGGTACAGCAGGGTACTGATGGCCTGTCCAAAAGTACTTTTGTGTTTTTCTAGCACATGGACGGCAATGACAAGTCTGATAGGGGGTGAGGTTGCCAGCTGCAGCTGCTGCCTGGCTAAGGAGGACCACAGGATTGTTTTGTCATGGCATGGTGCTGAAATGGTGCTGCATCCATCTGGCAAGGAGAACACGAATTGCATCCTCTTTTTTGCATATTTTGGGGACTAACATGTTTCTTCTCCTGACACCAGGGTTCTGGCTCTCCCTCCATAGCTCCAAAAATGGTGTATTCCATTCCAGCAGCTATAACATCATCTTTTCTCTCCAAAAATGGTGTATTCCATTCCAGCAGCTATAACATCATCTTTTCTACAGTCATCCCTATTCACATTGAGATCTTAAGAATCAGATATAATGGGATAAGACATTTTAAAAAAATTTCCAGACACCCATGTAATCCCCTACCTTGACTTACAAGGGACAGTATAGGGGGCTACAGAGATTAGTGAGTCACTCAGGTAGTCATTGTTTATTTGATCTATGTCAAGTCATCCTAACATTCCAGAATTTAGTTTCAATCCTCCAAGACCCCTTTTATCTGAGCTGTCACCTGGAGGGTGCACCTACCAAGTTTGCCTGAGGTTGAGGTTAGGGGAAAGCAAAAAGTATTATGCCCAGGAATGGTAGGAAAAAATACTGAATCTTCAAAATGTTCTAGATAATCCTTTACTGGAATTATTACCCAGAAAGCAACCAAGAGAAGTTCTCCTCTTTGTAAGGACAGTCACATTCAGTGACCACCTGCTTTATTATAAAGTGTGTGGCCCAGGAGAGTGTGAGAAAGGGAAAACAGAAATATTTTGAGTCAATTTCTGAGGGATTTCTTTCATTGCTCAACAAGATCAAATGCCCATGGACAGTAGGGCATGTGACATGTCCACCAAATACCTTGATTATTGTTCCATTGTTGAGTAGACTTTTGACAAATTGTGCACCATTTTCAGATGGTTTATGATCTGGAAAGCAGAAAACATGAAAGAGTTTAGTTAAGGGCTACAGTATTGCTGCAAGAGTTGAAGGATAGGATTAGAACAGAAAACCATTAGCTGGAAAGTATGGACAATGACCAGACCCAAAAAGCTGTCAAAGAGCTGATGTAGTCAGATCTGATGTCCTCAGCAGCCATGGGTGAAAACAATGCCCATGCGATATGGCCTCTCTTACCGTAAGACAAACAGGCTAACATTTTGCAGGAGCCACAAGTCGGCCACACAGTGGTGGCTTTTGCATCAGAAACATAAAAGACCTTTCCTTTGTGCCCCGTCTGTGAGGGGGAGGTGCTGGTGCATCCATTTTGATGGTGGATGTGGGAAGCAATTATAGCAAAATGGACAGCACAAGCTCGATCACATTGGCTCCAGCTGGTGTCATTAGAGAAGAGTTTCATCTGCCCCCACTGTGAGCACCTGTGTGAGAGACCCAGGCTGCTCAGTCCTCACCATGGCGAACTGTAAACTGGTAGTCTGTGGGCTTCCAAGTGGTAGACGGGATGGCTGTGTCATTGAACACGGCTCCATGTGTTAGTAATCTAACCTTCCAGCTCCTCAGGAGCCTTGCCTGAGGCAAGGACTTCTAACTCATCCCGCTGTGCTCACTGGCTTTAGGCACAGGCAGCCTTCCAGAGCTATTGCTGGGGCTGGATTGCTGCTACCACCCGCATGACACCAGCAGCTCTTGGCATAACAAGAGCGGATCTTCTTGGTGGGGACCGAGGCATATTGAAAGTACTTTTGTGTGTGTCATGGCTGGGGGTGTCATTGTTATGAGGTTTACATTGTTGCGTTTCCCATCCATTATGTATAAGAGACAATAAATTCTCCCAATTCAGGGAATGCCACATCTAGGCATGTAAAGAGATGATCTCCGTCCCCTCCAGGCTGGTCGAGCAGAATCAGTTCCCAGGCCCAGTCATTTAAAAGCAACTGTAGATGGAGGGCCCCATGGAGCCAAAGGTTTTGCTTCAGAAAGTGGAGTGAGGGGCCAAGTTTCCCCAAAGATGTCAACTGACACTTTTTTATGTAAAACTGAGATGACGCTAGGGCCACAATATAGTGTGCTCTTGAATACAGCATTTCCATTTTCCAGAGAGGATCACGGGGCCCTTTCTTTGTTAGTTGTTGAATAGGAATTGACTCGTGACTAAATGGGCTCTGTGAGTCAGGAATTCATTGTTAGGAAAGCCGCTGACCAGCGGCCCTTTTTGGTTTGTTTTTAACATTGTGCACTTGGGGGCAGAGTCCGGCAGGTGGCGCTACTCAGCTGGGAAATGGTTTCTCTGAGTTTGGGCAGCAGTTAGTTTTTTTAACTAGAGCTGAGTTCTTTCTTCTACCTGGATTCTGCGTTGTTTCTGCTGGACCGATCCGGAGGGGACAGAGATTGCTTCTCTACATGCTTAGATGTGGCATTCCTTGAATTGAAAGAATTTATTGTCTCTTACACATAATGGATGGGAAATACAACAATGTAAAAGTGTAACAATGTAACAATGACACCCCCAGCAATGACATACACTAAAGTACTAATGTTCCCCGGTCCCCATCAAGAAGACCATTTTGACTTCTCTTCACTAGTAAAAATTGTATTAATTGAATTTGGTAACATTTGCCCCCAAAATGTGAACACTGACCAAGTTGTTTAACATATGCATGAATTGACTCTGCAGCAACATGTTATCCCATGGCCAGGATGCTGAGCAGTGCAGGAAGAAGGATGTCAAAGGCCTGAGAGAAATAATGGGAAGGAAACATTTTTTTCCCCTCTTTGGCCTTTTATCTCTGCTTTCACAGACTACTGCAGCGTTGTTCTGCAGTCCTCAATGCTTTTGCTAGTCTGTTCCTAACATTCTCTTTTCTCCTGAGACCTGGTAGGAAGGTGAATACATAACCTGAATCCAAGAGACACATAAAAGTTGGAATCCCTGCCTTTTCAAAGTTCCCATACATATAACCAGAGGGTGCCTATGGCTCTCAGTGTTCTTTAGGGACAGGGAGATCTTGGCTACTGATTGTTGAAAGGAAAACTTAAGATAAATTCAATTTAATGGAATTTAATTGAGCAAAGTACGATTCACAAATCCAGTAGCCAGAATAGGCTCAGCATGACTCTGGGGCTGTCAAGTGGTCAGATAATATTTATGGACAGAAAAAGAAAAGTGACATACAGAAAAGGGAAGAGAGGTGCAGAAAACAGCTGGATTTGGTTACAGCTCTGAATTTGCCTTATCTGAACACAGTTTATACAGTTAGCCAGTCTGTGATTGCCTGAAACTGATTGGTACAAGAGTAGATTACAGTCTGCTTACACATCCTATTAGGTTACAGTTTTCTATGTAGAAAGAAACCTTTAGTCTGAACTTAAAGTATGTAAGGAGGCAGCTTCAGGCTAATCTTAACATGCCTAATCTCCTTTCTTTTTAAAGCAGCTGAGATCCATGCAGAGGAAAGGGAGCGATCAGAGGGTACCGAGGGAGAGAGTGACTTCATGCTACAGCAAGCTGGCTTTGTGTTTACTCTCTTTAAGAATAGCTGCCCACTTAATTTCCACCAGAGGAGCTTCTAATGTTTGCTCAATCAAAGGTCTATGTTGAATAGCAAATAGCATGTTTCTCATTTTTGATACTCTTTATTCAGTTTTGGGGACTTCTTGGCTTCGAAGCCGCATCTGTCTTGCCTTTCCGCAGGGGCTGCTGGGCTTCCTGCCCCTTGTCATAGTAGCATCCCTTTCTTGTCCTCCCCCCAAGGAGAGTGAGTCACAAGGTGTGCTTGTTGAAATTCTACCTCTAACTATTCACGTTCATTAACAGGAAAGTGCATGGAAGTGCACTGACGTGTTGTGAAATGCTACGAAGAAAAATAAAGCAGAAATTCCTAGGTGTTGATGGATGGAATTGCATTTTAAATAGGTGGTAGAATGAACATCGTGGAAAAGATGATATTTAAACTTGAAAGATGTTAGAAAGCAAGCCACATAAATATCCTGGGAAAGAACCTTCCAGGAAGAGGGAACAGCAAGTGGAGACTCTCTGAGGGAAAAGCACGCCATGTTTGCCAGGACCGCAGATGGTTATTGTGGATTAAATTAGCCAAAGGGTAGGATTTGAGATCGGAGAAGTAGTGGTGGTCCAGATTCGGGAGGATCCTGTGGCCCACACTAAGTGCTTTACTTCAATCTAAGTGAAAAGGAGAGATAATGGAAGTTTCTGAAATGGCAATTTGACTTATGTTTTAAAAAAACAAATTGGGCGACTGCATTGAGAGTAGTATATGAACAAGTAAGGGAAGGGATAGAGAGTTCATTTGAAGAGCACTGCAGCAATCCTGTTGAGAAAAGACAATGGCTTACAGTAAAGTAGTGATAAGGGAAGACCTAAGAAATCACTGGATTTCATATCTGTTTTGAAAATGAAGGTGGCAATATTTGTTGCTTACTTAGATAGGTAAAAGTCGAGAATGAATGTATTTTGCTACAATCTTTAAGAATGACAAGGTTTAGTAGTAACAATATCTATTTGAATGTTCTTTTTATTCTTTCTCTTGATAGCCTTTTTGTTCTTCCTTTTAATCCAGATAGCTATATGCAAGCATTTCCTAATTTATATACTTTTATTGGTCTGTCAAAATCAGGCTTGAGTAAGTTATCTCACCAAACATATTTTCAATATTTGACAACGGAGCCAGCCATTATTAATGTACTGTGAATTTCTCAATTAATAACCTGCTTCAGCATTTAGTTAATTTTTGTTTGTTTACACAGTCATTCCCAAGCATTAATTTCTTATTTGCTGAATCACGATAACAAATAACATATAAAATCAACTGTATAATTTGACACTCTATTTCCTTTACCTTTAATAAAAAATATATACATTCATTTGTGGTTTTATTAATACTGAAAATACATAGAGAAACAGGCACCTTTTCTTTTAGTTAATTCCAACCTTTACATAAGTCGACAGAAGAAATTCCGAACTAAAATTTCTAAGATAGTAATTTTTTGAGGGGGTTGTAAATTTATTGTCAGCTATTTTTACTGATATATTTTCATTGTCTCCTAATCAATTTTTAATTATATTTTAAATTTTATAATATTAGATAAGTGAGCTTTCACTTTCAAAGTAAGTAACTTAAAAATGGCATTTTTTTGAGAACATGTAATAAGTTTTATTGTGATAGGAAAATATAAATAATGATTTGTTTGTTTTGAAACTTCAGATTGGATTGTATTTTGTATAATATGGAATATTTGATTAAGCCATACCCTTGGTGAAATTTATACCTGATGTGGCTGCTCTATTTTGAAGGGAAACAGCTGTTTTTCTAATGTTTCTGTGGTTTTATGAACACGATGTTTCCTTTATGAGACAAAGTGGATTCAAATTAGCTCTCAACTCCCTCCAGGAGCAAGTTGCGCAAATGTTTTGTAACTTACTATTGCTTGGTAAACGTTAGATTGCAGATTATCCTAGGTGCAATGCCTAGGGCTCCTTAAGTGCCGTCATTTACTTGTTTATTTTCTTCTCAGGCTAGGGAATTACTTTATGAACTCAGAGTCATAAAAGAGAGCAACCAAGTGGGAAGAAAGACATTTGGTATAATACTTCTTTGACTGAAAAGGAAATTGGATTTTACCTATTGCAAAGGAGGTCACAAATTTTATTGTTAAATGGGCTAAAGTGTACTTATTTAATAAGATGTGGGCTTAAAATGGAAGACTTCTTTAATCTCAGGCCTCCAGCAAATACACAATAATTTATATTTTTTCACAGAATTTTCACATTTGGTAACCTTAAACTTTTATGGTAACTTTGATCGATTGTTTTCCATAATTGTTTTTGACCTTGCTATAATGGATAAAGCATACTTGTTTAAACACAAAAATCCTTATGTGGGAAGTAGAGTTATTTATATTTGACATAAGTTTCTGGAAGTGATTTACAAGGCAGCTGAAATGTATTAAGCTAATGTTGAAAGAAGAAAGTAGTTAAATATATGTGCAGAGTGCTTATGCTGGCAAGAATTCCAATCCAGTCTTGGCCTGAATTGCTTTAAGAATCATTGTTTATGTTTTAGGGGAACTACATGCAAAATAGAGAAAACGAAGCAAACAAATGTAGAATTATGTAATATACTAGGCTGTAGGCATTCTAAATCCACACCCCCAAATAAAATGAAATAATGTTGTCTGAATATCATACCTGTTGCTTTGGTGTGGGCCACAGGATCCTCCCAAATCTGGACCAATAGATGTCTTATTGCATATGAATTGTCTATGTATTATAGTATACATATATCATAATCCTTTTTATAATTTACTCTAAGTTTTCTGAGACTGTGTTGAAAGATATAGGACAAAAAAAGATTTACTGGGACAATGTGAATAATGGAAATTTCTGTTAACTAATGAGATGAATGTCTACACAAAAAAAACGAAAAACGTAGCACACTTTGAATGAATAACAATGCCTAGTTCTTTCTGTCATCATAAAGCATGATAAATATTAGTTTTCTTTTCTCTTTCAGGAAAATGAGAGGAAGAACTATGAGTGAAGAAATAAACACGTTGAAGCTGTAAACTTCCAAACCAAAAGCATGGTGAGTGATGTTTTTCATAATGATCCTTGCATGTTTAATCATATACTGTTATTTGTCCCATTGTGTCTGGAATTGGTGGGTTCTTGGTCTCACTGACTTCAAGAATGAAGCCATGGACCCTCGTGGTGAGTGTTACAGCTCTTAAGGTGGTGCGTCTGGAGATTGTTGCTTTCTGATGTTCGGATGTGTTCGGAGTTTCTTCCTTCTGGTGGGTTCGTAATCTCACTGGCTCAGGAGTGAAACTGCAGACCTTCGCGGTGAGTGTCACAGCTCTTAAGGCGGCGGGTCTGGAGTTGTCCCTTCCTCCCGGTGGGCTCGTGGTCTCGCTGGCTTCAGGAGTGAAGCTGCAGACCTTCGCGGTGACTCTTACAGCTCATGAAAGCAATGCTGACCCAAACAGTGAGCAGTAGCAAGATTTATTGCAAAGAGCCAAAGAACAAAGCTTCCACATCGTGGATGGGGACCCTAACGGGTTGCAACTGCTGGCTCGGGCAGCCTGCTTTTATTCTCTTATCTGGCCCCACCCACATCCTGCTGATTGGTAGAGCCCAGCGGTCTGTTTTGACAGGGCGCTGATTGGTGCGTTTACAATCCCTGAGCTAGACATAAAGGTTCTCCACATCCCCACCAGATTAGCTAGATACAGAGTGTCCACACAAAGGTTCTCCAAGGCCCCACCAGAATAGCTAGATACAGAGTGTCGATTGGTGCATTCACAAACCCTGAGCTAGACAGAGGGTGCTGATTGGTGTATTTACAAACCTTGAGCTAGATACAGAGTGCCCATTGGTGTATTTACAATCCCTGAGCTAGACATAAAGGTTCTCCAAGGCCCCACCAGACTCAGGAGCCCAGCTGGCTTCACCTGGTGGATCCCGCACGGGGCTGCAGGTGGAGCTGCCTGCCAGTCTCGCGCAGTGCGCCCGCACTCCTCAGCCCTTGGGTGGTCGATGGGACTGGGCGCCTTGGAGCAGGGGGCGGCGCTCATCGGGGAGGCTCGGGCCCGGCCGCACAGGAGCCCATGGAGGGGGTGGGAGGCTCAGGCATGGCGGGCTGCAGGTCCCAGGCCCTGCCCCCTGCCCGGCGGGAAGGCAGCTAAGGCCCGGTGAGAAATCAAGTGCAGCGCCGGTGGGCTGGCACTGCTGGGGGACCCAGTACACCCTCCGCAGCCGCTGGCCCGGGTGCTAAGCCCATCATTGCCCGGGGCCGGCAGGGCCGGCCGGCTGCTCCGAGTGCGGGGCCGGCCAAGCCCACGCCCACCGGAACTCCAGCTGGCCCGCAAGCACCGCGCGCAGCCCCGGTTCCCGCTCGCGCCTCTCCCTCCACACCTCCCTGCAAGCTGAGGGAGCTGGCTCCGGCCTTGGCCGGTCCGGAAAGGGGCTCCCACAATGCAGCGGTGGGCTGAGGGGCTCCTCAAGTGCCGCCAAAGTGGGAGTCCAGGCAGAGGAGGCGCCCAGAGCGAGCTAGCGAGGGCTGTGAGGACTGCCAGCACGCTGTCACCTCTCACCATGAGGTCTGTATAATTGAAGGTTGCCTAGATTGCATTTTTCATATTGTAGTTTTAACCTGTGAGTTTCAAATCACGTGGGTCTTCCTTTATTTCAATGATTACATTACAATTTCCAGGACCTCCCAAGCCTGGGAAGTCAGATTAACACATTCCCTGTTCTTGATGTTCTTTGCACCCTATTTGAGCTTGTAAATTTTCCAGGCAATGTGGAAACTCTTGGAAGACAATTTACTTAACAGCTGCTTCTGTCAAAACCCATCCTGCGGCTTGTTTGCCTACTGTCTTGTGGGTTCTAATTGTTCTCTGCTGCTACAGCTGCTGTCCCAGTCCCCTGGTAAAGCCACTGTCTCTTTACCTCCCATACCTAAAACAGCATATCCATAACACACAGCTGTTGAGTATGGCGGGTTTTAATGAAAATTCATAATTACACAGACGTAGTTCTGCACAGAGTAGCAAAGGGCATGACTCAAAATTGGAAGTCCTATCTTAGAATTCTGTCTGGTGCTCCTTGACACAGGGGGTTTCTCATGGGGGATATGGTGCTTATTTCCTGCCATAACCTTGCTGGATTCTCTCTCTACCCAAAACTCAGTTCTCTAAATTCCCTCTGGTTCAGTGCCCTGAAACTCTATTCTTTGATGCCAACTTTTGGGAAACTCTAATTTCCTATAAATTTATTTGTTTAAAGCTTTCCCACTTACACAATACTTGCCTATTTTTTATCAAAAAGCACTTGTCTTACTAAGAGTAATGTTGTCTTCCTACACATATCAAGTGAGTTAATATATTTTTCTGTTCTACATATTTATGGATTCATAATTTAATATATTTTTAAAAATCAAATCATAGAGCTGACAAGCACAAGATACTTGGTTACAAATAAAAGAGAACTATAAAATGTACAAAAATATCTTTAGGCAAACATTTGTAAAAACATCTATAGCAATACCTGTTAGTTGACATTCAGAAGTATAGGTAAAATAAAATATTTTGTATATCTACTTAGCTAGTTACACTTTTTGTTTCTATCAGCCATAGCATTCTTTAAGGTAAACAAAATTGTCAGGTTTATAGTTACAGTAATTTTTCGATGTTATATTTTTCATGAGTCTAGATATCAACATCAATTGTTAATTTTTTTTTTAAATCAGACAAGCTGTATTTAATTCACAAAATGACACTAAGAAGTGCATAGCAATTTTTTTTTAGGGGGATGAGACTTTTAATTTTTCCCCTCTTGCCTCCAGGCCAAAAATTCTTGGAAGGCATATCCCCACCTACAAATTTATTTAAGTTCTCTCCATATCCTGGATAACAACCACTTCAGAATAGATCAAGTACAGTATGTCTCTGCATGGTGTAAGAGGGCTTATAATGGAGAAAGACCACAATGGCTAAATCCCAATGTATATTACATATTTTTAAATGACTTTATTGATTGAGTTGGGGGTACAGCCACCACCAATGGTATTTTTTAATAGACTGTTTTAGATTTACAGAAAAGTGAGAAGACAGCACAGAGATTTCCCACATACCTCATATCCAGTTTATCCTATCAGTACCATTCCCATTAGTATAGCAAATATGTTAAAGTTAACAAATATTGATACATTCACGTTAACTGAAGTCCATTCTTTATTGAGATTTCTACTTCCCATATTACTTTTTCTCCCTATGTAAAATACATCTGGTTTTCCAAGAAGTGAAACAGATTTAGATGATAATAATGCCAGTAATTTCTAAATATGAAGTTGCCAATTGCTATTGTTTGGATATTTGTCCCCTGAATCACAGGTTGAAGTGTAATCCCTGATGTTGGAGGTGGCGCCTGGTGGGAGGTGTTTGGGTCATGGGAGTGGGTCCTTCGTGGCTTGGCGCTGTCCTTGCGATAGTGAGTTCTGGTCATTTGAAACCGTGTAGCACCTCCTGCTCACTCTCTCTCTTGCGCTCACTCATGCCTTGTGAGGTTGGGCTCTCCCTTTACCTTCAGCTCTGATTTTACGCTTCCTGTGTCCTCGCCGGAAGCCAAGCAGATACTGGTGCCATGTTTCCTGTACAGCCTGCAGAACCATGAGCCAATTAAACCTCTTTTCTTTATAAATTATCCAGCTTTGGATATTTCTTTATAGCAATGCAAGAATGGCCTAACACACAAATATTTTGTTTTTTTTGTTTTTCCTGTGAAGTCAAAATTTTTTACCCTTAAGGATTGCTCTCAGAAGTGTTGTGCTATTATGGAAACATAATATAAAATCAATGTTTTATCTTTAAATGTGATTTTAAAATTGCAGTCGCTCATGCCGGGGATTGGTTCCGGGAATGCCCACAGATACAAAAATCTGAGCATACTCAGGTTCCACAGGACTCACTGCGGGGTCCCCTGAAGGGATAAAACGTCAGTTCTTTGTATATGTGGGCTTTATATCCTACCAAGATTGTATTTTCGATTTTCAGTTTGGTTGAAAACAATCTTCCTGTAAGTGGACTTAAGTATTTCAAATTTGCGTTGTTCAAGGGTCAACTGTACAGAAACCAAAACAAACAACAACAAAAACCCTTTTAGAACCTGAAAGAAAGATAAAAAATATAAAGGGCTTCTTGAGATCTGCTACTAAATTTATTTTTAATTTTGACAAAAAGTTATTTTAAAGCAATTGTACCCATCAAAAAATGACCACTCCAAAAAAATGTTATTGTAAAGGATGCTGTTTTCTTCCTCTTAAAACTATCAGATGAAACATTGAGTCTAATTTAAGTAAAAATATTTAATTGTGAAAAATACCTATAATAGCTAATTTTTAACAGTATATTTGGAATTCCGTAAGTTTTCATTTCTTTTCTGAAACCATAACAGAAGTTATTATATGCTATGTACTGAATGAGTGTGTCCTCCAAAAATTCATATATTGAAGCCTTAATTTCAAATATGTTGGTATTTCAAAATGTAGCCTTCAGTAGGTAATAAGTTTCTGAGGCTGGAGCTCTCATGAAGGGGAATAATGCCCTTATGAAAAAAAGAGGTGAGAGATAATCTCTTTCTTCACCATGTGAGGATACAAGAAGGCATCTGTCTGCAAACCAGGACAAGAGCCAGGAAGAAAATCGTCTGGCATCTTGATCTTCACATTTTCCAGAACTGTGAAAAATAGTCTTGTTTTAAGTCACCCAGTCTGTAGTATTTGGTATAGCAGCCATAACTAAGACATTGTAAAAAAAAAAAAAAAAAAGTACAGTGTGAGACACTGTGTAAAAAAAAAGTGTAAAACACTGTGGGAAAAAGATGTTTTTCTTTCTTTCTTTCTTTCTTTTTTTTTTTTTTTAACACTTTCAACTTCAAGTTCTGGGAGTACACATCCAGGTTTGTGACATGGGCATATTGCGTGATGCTGAGGTTTGGGGTATGATTGATCCAGCCCCCAGGTACTGAGCGTAGTATTCAATAGTTAGTTTTTCTACCTGTACACCCCTCCTCTGCCCTCTAGTCATCTCCAGTGTCTATTGTTGCCATCTCCATGTCCGTGAGTGCATGTTGTTTAGCCCCCACTTATAAGTGAGAATATGCAGCATTTGGTTTTCTGTTCCTGTGTTAATTTGCTTAGGCTAGTGGCCTCCAGCTATGTCCATGTGTTGGTTCATAGGGCAAAATTTCATTCTTTTTTATGGCTGCATAGTATTCCATGGTGTGTGTGTGTGTGTGTGTGTGTGTGTGTGTACATCACATTTTCTTTATTCAATCCACCATTGATGGAAACCTAAGTTGATTCCACGGCTTTGCTATTGTGAACAGTGCTACAAAGAACATACGCATGCATGTGTCTTTTAGTAGAATGATTTATATTTCTTTGGGTATATGCCCAGTAATGAGATTGCTGGGTTGAATGGTACTTGTGTTTTAAGTTCTCTGAGAAATCTTCAAACTGCTTTCCGCAGTGACTGAACTAATTTACATTCCCACCAGCAGTGTCTCAAGTGTCCCCTTTTCTCTGCAGCCTTGCCAACATGTGTTGTGTTTTGACTTTTTAATTGGAGCTGTTCTGACTGGTGTGAGGTGGTGTCTCATTGTAGTTTCTATTTACATTTTGCTGATGATTAGTGATGTTAAGCATTTTTTTCTCAGAAAACAATATTATTTCTGAAATAGTACTTTTTTTCATCCATTAGAAATGTGACAAAATGTGAGACAATTTTTTGTCACCAGATTTTTTTTTTACACTCAAGGGGGAAAGGTTGTAGCCTCAAATGAGTATTTTTGAAAGTAAAATAGACACAATGCTGTGAGGTGTTGGGCCAGCTGTTTTTTCCAATGTAATTAGAATTTGACCTTTTAAAGCTCTCTCACTAAAGAAAGTGAGTGAATGTTGAATGTGATCAACTTCATATTGTTAAACAGTCATAAGCCTACTGATCAAGGAAGATATATGTCTTATAGTTGAATATATTATTTCACAAAATTAATGATATGCTTGGACTTACATATTTCACTCTGCATTTATAATTTCAGCCTATTAAAATGGTAAAAAAGAATAAAGGCACATTTCAGGGGGAATAAAAGAAGACAAGTTCCTGGATTAAGAATAATGTCATGTCCCTTTCTTGTAAGTGAGGTAGTTTTCTCACTGTTGATAGATACTAGTACCATTTAACATTATGAGCTTGCTTGCTACTGTTATTATTTAAGGCACAAAATGATACTTTAAAAACTAGAAATGTAGAAGACATATTTATGTAGTGTTTGTTATCATTTAATATAGTTCCCTTAAACAACATACACTGGGACCTGTTGGAGGGTGGAGAGTGAGAGGAGCAAGAGGATCAGGAAATATAACTAATGGGTATCAGGCTTAATACCTGGGTGATGAAATAATCTGTACAATAAACCCCCATGACACAAGTTTACTTATATAACAAACCTGTACATGCATCCCTGAATTTCAAATAAAAGTTAAAAATAAAATAAAATAAAATAGTTCCCTTAGGAGGAGCATTAAGTTGTGAAACTTCATGAAGTTGTGAAACTTTCAAGGTGCTTTGAAGGAAGTGCAACAATCCTGTTAACAGTGTTAATCTCCAAGAAATATTGTTGATGAAGGAAGTAGGGAACAAACATCCTGGAAGGCTTTTGGCTCTTATAATTTTCCTTTTTCAGAAGGAATTTTGCTTACTATGTTTTCTTGTGAGAATATACTTACAGAAAGTGCAAAAACATGTATGTTCAGGATAAAAATGACTCTAAACCACAATGTGTTACAGCATCACCCAACAAGAGACAGAATGTGGCCAGTTCCCCGGGAGGGTCTGTGAACTCATCTCTAATCATTTTTTACACTCTCCTTTTCAGAAGTAGCCATAACTCTGGCTTTTGTGATACTCATTTCTTTGCTATTCTGTATAGTTCTGTTTCCTTCATTTTGGAACTTTCTTACTTCATTTGTTCAAATTTACAGACTTAGCTATGTGATTGTGTGCAAAGTTCTTTTTATTTCCAATAGCTGGCTACTTTTATAATGTACTGAAATACCAGAGTTTAGCTACACATTCTGCCGCTGATGGATATAGATATAGATAGATATATAGATGTATCTCTTCTGTTTTAGGTGTGCAGTTGGTTGCAAAGAAGTTAATTTGCTCTGTGATTCCTTTCTCACTAAAAAAGAAAGAAAGCAGATGACATAGTCATATCTTCATGTATGTTAATAATAGAAGTTCTGATACACAAACGAATGGCTCAGAGATGAATCATTATGCAAGGGATGCTTTTGGTCATGTGTCCCTAGTTTAGAATTGCATATGATAAGTGAACCTAGTACCTATAAATTAAGGTTGGTGCAAAAGTAATTGCAGGTTTCGCCATTGAAAGTAACAGCAGAACCACAGTTACTTTTGCGCCAACTTAGTATAAGACACCGTTCCTGGGAAAATTTTACATGAATTGTGTAAATATATGGATAAAAAATAAACGTGTTTCATAACCTACAGTTCTTCCCGTTAGATCTTTGTAATCCTCATCTAGGGACTGCGTCTTGCATTTTCAGCAACTGACATGTATGTGATGTGGAAACTATCTGGAGAGTTGTGTGGATTCTTCTGGATTACTGTCTTCTTCTCTTGGGCCTCTTGTTTGCTTGCATCCTATAAATTAGTAAATATATTTGTTATTTCTTAAGACCTCTGATTGTACATAATTGTTGCAATCCTATCCTTTGTACTAGTTCAAGATGGACATTGATATTGACTGGACTTGCACATGCATATTCCTGCACTGTGAATTAGCTGACCATGGCTCACAGCTTCACCCTGCTCTGCTGAATTGCCCTTGTCTGATGGGAACCACTTTGCTGGAGATACCTGGATGAAATTGCATTCTAAAAGCTTAAAGCTTGTAACTTACCATATTTTTTGAAACTCTACTTTATTCTCAGCCTTATAATTTATCCTCTATTCAAAGCTATCTACAGATTCAATGCAATCCCTATCAAAATCCCAATGACACTTTTTTTTTACAAAAATAGAAATAATTTTATAATTCATATCAAAGCACAAAAGACCCCAAATGGTAACATGCATTTATGGCCAAGTGTTCTTCAACAAGGCTGCCAAGAATGCAAAATGGAGAAAGAATAGTCTCTTTAAAAAATGGTGCTGGGAAAACTGTTATACCACACACAAAAATCAACCCAAAATGGACTAAAGACTCAAACATAAAGCTTGAAATGGAAAAACTCCTGAAAGAAAACATGAGGAGAAAACTCTTTGACATTGGTCTTGGCAATGATTTTTTTGTATGTGACATCAAAAGCAGAAGCAACAAAAGCAAAATTGGACAATTGAAACTACATCAAAGTGGAAAGGTTCTGCATCCAAAGGAAACAATAAACAGAGTGTAAAGGCCACCTAGAGAATGGAAGAAAATATTTGCAAGTCATATATCTAATAAGATTTTAATATTCAAAAATATAAGGAACTTCTACAACTCAATAGCCAAAAAGAAAAATAACCCAATTAAAAATGGCCAAAGGACTTGAGTAGACATTTCTTGAAAGAAGACATAGAAATTGCCAGCAGGCATATGAAAAGATGCTCAATATTACCAGTCATGAAAGAAAAGGAAATCAAATCCACAAGGATATATTGCATTATAGTAAATATAATAAAAACTAAAACAAAAAAAGTGTTGTCAAGAACGAGATGAAATTTCAGGTGTTGTACACTGCTGGTGGAAATTTAAAATGCAACAGCCACCATGGAAAACAGAATTGAGGTTCCTCAAAAGAAAAAAAATAGAACTACTATGTGATCCAGCAATGCCATTTCCGGGTGTATGTCCAAAAGAATGGAAATAAGAATCTCAAAGAGATACCTGCACTCACATGTTGATTGCAGCATTATTCACAATAGCCAAGTTATGGAAAAAAAACAAATATCCATCATGGATGAATTTAAGAGAAAATTTTGTATGTACATATAATAAAATATTTTCATTCTTTAGGAAGAAGGAAATTCTGCCATATATGACAAGATGATTGAACCTAAGCATTATCCTAATGAAATAATCTGGTCACTTGAGACAAATAGCAGATGATTTAACTGATGTGAGGTATCTGAAATAGTCAAACTCATAGAAACAAAGAGTAGAATGGCAGTTGCTAGGGGATTGGTGCTATGGGTGGTTGGGAATTCCTGTTCAACAGATATGTTGTTTCAGTTATGCAAGATGAATGAATTATAGAGGTCTGCTGTACAGCGCTGTTCTCATAGTTAACAATACTGTATTGTGCAGTTAAAAATTGTGAAAGGGATATGTCTCATGTTGTGTTTTTACCATAATAATAATAATAATAATAATAATAATAATAGGCCGTGCTTAAAGATGAGCAAAACAAAAACAAAAATTGTACTAGACCATAGAACTGGCCAGACATTATTTTTAGCCATGGCTTATCATAATGGTAGTAAATGTACACTCATAGGAAAACATTCAATAAGATTTAAATACGTTAATAAGCTGTGTTTTATAATACTCAAGGAATATATCCAAATGTGCAATGTATTTTGCCTACCTGGTTACAATCACTATTTATTTATTTATTTGTTCATGTATTTATTTATATTTGCAGATGGGAACATAAAGTGCATCAAATATACTCTCATAGTCTGAATGTTTGTGTCTACCCCCATCCACCAGTTTATACCTAGAAACTTAATTCTATGTGATTTGGAGTTGAAGCCTTCAGGAGGTGATGAAATCATAAGGGTGAATGTAACCTCATGAGTGAGATTAGTGATTTTATAATAAGAAATAGGGGAGTACTCCCTTGCTCCTTCCACCGTGTGAGGACACATTGAGAAGACCACCAACTATGAACCAAGAAACATACCCTCACCAGAAACCTTATTTTCCCTCACTTCCCAGCCTCCAAAACTGTGAAAAATAAATTTCTATCGTTTATGTAACCCAGTGTATTAGTCTGTCCTCATGCTGCTATGAAGAAATACCTGAGACTGGGTAACTTATAAAGGAAAGAAGTTTAATTGACTCACAGTTCTGCAGGGCTGGGGAGGCCTCAGGAAACTTAAAATCATGGCGGGAGGGGAAGCAATCACTTCATTCTTCACATGGTGGCGGGAAGGAGAAGTGCCAAGCGAAGCGGGAAAAAGCCCCTTATAAAACCACCAGATCTTGTGAGAACTCACTCACTATCATGAGAACAGTATGGAGGAACCACACCCATGATCTAATCACCTCCCATGAGGTCCTGCCCTCAGAATGTGTGGATTACAATTCGGATTACAATTCAAGACGAGATTGTGGGTGGGGACACAGCCAAACCATATCACCCAGTCTATAGCATTTTGTTACAAGAGCTCAGACTAAGACACTAGACTACAATGAGTTTTGAAATAGCACAAGGAAAGAAGACTTTTATGTAATTATTTCTCTATTGATATGATATTAATTTTTCTCAACATTATTTAAAATGTTAAGAGAAAATAGGATACTAGTTTAGGGAGATGGGAATTATATTTTTGGATAATTTACATATGTGGATTTATTTCCGTAAGCAGAGAAAATCAATGTTACTAATCTTAAATTAGATACAGAAAAATTCCTTTCTTAGTAGGTCTTTGTACTTCACCTACGTGTTATTGCTATGAAACCTTTATGAAACTTAATAGTGCATTTGTACTCACTGCTTTAATTGTTCTTTATTAGATGACAATGTTTTACAAATGCTGTAGGTTAATTGTGGCAATGTTTCAACTTACAAACTATAATTAACGTGACCCATTGAATTCTCTGAGGGAAACAGTGGTCCTGGATGCATAAAGGAAATACTGTGACTAGTTTTATAATTGAGACAGGAATTTCACAACAATGAAATGCTCAGCAACTATGAATATAATAGCAATGACTTTGATACAAAATGTGATTTTAATATAGCCAATGTTTGTGTTTGTGTTGCTATAAAGGGATACCTGAGACTGGGAAATCTATTTTAAAAAGATGTTTATTGACCTATGGTTCTGCAGGCTATACGAGAAGCACGTTGCCAAGGGCCTCAGGCTGCTTCCACTCATGGAAGAAAGAGAAGGAGAGCCAGTGTCAGCTGAGATCACATGGAGAGAGAATGCGAGAGAGAGAGGGAGGGAGGTGCCAGGCTCTTTTTAGCCACCAGCTCTCTGGGGAACCATTGCAGGAACTAATAGAGCAGAGAACTCATTATTCTGATGACATACAAAACCGTTCATTAAAGATCAGCCCCCTGACCCAAACAACTCCAATTAACAACTCCCATTAGGCACCACCTGCAACACTGGGGATCAAGTTTTAACTTGAGGTTTGAAGGGTAAAATATTCAAACAATAGCAGTAAGAGAGAGGGTGAGAATACTGTTGGAGAGATTATTGAATCTAATATATGATACAGATTGCATTTGAATTGAATTTAGGTGAATACAAGAATATTTAAAATTTTTTTTAAATTTTACTTCACAGAATATGGAGAATGTAATGAAAGAATTCTCATTTGAGTGATATAGCATGCCAAATGTTCTGAAAAGTAAAACAGAGGATGTTTCATTTCTGCACATCACTTTTTAACTTGAGTGTGAGTAGTTCCTGGTTGCTTCTCCATAGAGCAACACATATATCTTTAAACACCAGAGGAAGGTTTCAGCATTTCCATTTCTATGCCTAAAAAGTTCAGAAAATCATGGGCTTTTTGAAAAATAAATTTAATTTCAATAAATACAGGAAAGAAGGACATCAAAAATAGACAATGAGCCAGGCACAGTGTCCTACATTTTGGGAGGCCGAAGCAGGCAGATCACCTGAGCAAGGAGTTCGAGACCAGCCTGGCCAACATGGCAAAACACCGTCTCTACTAAAAAAAAGTATGAAAAATTAGCCGGGCGTGGTGATGGGCGCCTGTAATCCTGGCTACTCAGGAGGCTGAAGCAGGAGAATTGCTTGAATCTGGGAGGCGGAGGCTGCTGTGAGCCAAGATTGCACCATTGCACTCCAGCCTGGGGCCACAAGAGTGAAACTCTGTCTCAAAAAAAAAAAAATCAAAACTAGACAATGATAATAATGCATCTACTTAAGATTATTTATATCAAAAAGAGCTAAAAAATACTTCTGAAGAATTTCTTTGCTTTTCTGTGTTGGTAGTGATGAGCTAGAGTCATTTCTTCCTCTGAATTTCTTCTTCATCTATATTTAACTTAGACTTTCCACCAAATTAGAAAAAAATGGGGACAACAAAACAAAGGCTTAATAACAGTGATCAAATAAGCTACCACTTTGCAACATGACTTTAGAAACTTCACCATACCAGAAGTTTGCTGGCCTGCTACTGAATCTCTATAGACCAAAGATTGTTTGTTACTATCACTTTTTAATTTTTTTTTACCTGACAGAGAGCTGATTGACTGTCTGGAAATAATATATTTCCTCCATGTATACCAGTACGGTGGACCTTACTTACCCATGGGTTCTGTATCCATAGATTCAATCAACCATGGGTCAAATATACTCAGAAAAATATCCACAAAATTCCAAAAAGCAAAATTTGAATTTGCTGCATGTGGAGTACTACATTGAATTTACATGAATGAAATGAAGTGTAGGCATTATATTAAGAATTATAAGTAATCTAGAGATTACTTAAAGTGTACAGAAGGATGTGATATGCATGGTGTAGGCAAATATGATGCCATTTTACATTACAGACTTGAGTATACATGGATTTTAGTATCCATGGGGGGTCCTGGTACCAAGCACCAACAGATAGTGAAAGAAGACTACCTTTGAAATTGGAAGGGAAGATATTCTTTTTCTGTAAAATCCTGATTTTTTTTTTTTTTTTTTTTTTGTGGATACAGGATCTTGCTCTATCACTCAGGCTAGAGAACAGTGATGTGATCACTATTCACTGCAGCCTTGATCTCCCAGGCTCAAGCATCCTCTCACCTCAGCTTCCCAAGTAGCTGGGACTACAGGCATGTGCCATCACTCCTGTCTAATTTTTTTTATTTTTAATTTTTCTGTTTTAGTACAGATGAGGTTTCATTATGTTGCTCTGGCTTGTCTTGAGCTCCTGAGCTCAAGTGATCCTCCCACCTTGGCCTTCCGAAGTGCTTGGATTAAAGGTGTCAGTCACAACGCCCAGCCATAATCCTGCTGATAATTAAAGAATTAGGGGTTTCTGTACATTAGCTGAGATCTGTAGAAGTGTGACCTAGCTCTCAGCGTCCTTCTTCAATTTGGTGCCATGCTTCTGTATTTGGAAGCTACATTTCATGGAGCATGGCTTATATTCTGCAAAGTTCTTGTGTTGGAAGCTTAATTTCCAATGAAATAGTGTTGAGAGGTGAGAACTTTCTCTCTTTCCTTTTCTATTTTTTTTGTGTGGAATGAGATCTAGCTCTGTCACTCAGGCTGGAGTGCAGTGGCATTATCATAGCTCACTACAGTCTCAAACTCCTGGACTCAAGTGATTCTCCTGCTTCAGCATCCAGAGTAGCTGAGATTACAGGTATGATCCACCATGCCACGATTTTATGGTATTTTCAATCAGAGGCAAGTGAAGTTTCTTAATGGGAAAGGGAGCTAACAATGTTAGTAAGAGCATTCTTAGGAAAACAACAAAGTTCAATGTACCATTTGCTGTAATGTATACTCCTAGCCTATTTCTCAGGGTACTTTTTAGGAAATAGCTGAAATTGATAAAAGAAAAACAATCTCTGTACAAACTAAGCCAGAATGAGAATGAAAGCAACATGAAACCTCTATAGAAAAAGCCAAATTTAATAAAAAGTATTTAATTGGAATGAAGAAACAAACCCAAAATGTAGGAAGTAATAATACACACTTGACAAAGTACTTCAGCACTGACAAGAAGCCATACAGCCAGAGAACAAGTTTTTCCAAGAGTCAAATAATGTTGAAGGTACTAAGTATCCCTCTCTACTGCTTCCCTGTCTACTGCTTCCTAAATTATCATTCTCTCTCTCTCTCTCTTTCTCTCTCTCTCTCTCCGTGTGTGTGTGTGTGTGTGTGTGTGTGTGTGTGTGTGTGTGTATCTCATGGTTGGAGGGGTTGCTCTTAATTTTTTTTTTCTTCTTTGACCTATGCTATGGTTTAAATGTATCCTCCAAAGTTCATGTGCTGGAAACTTAATTTCCAAGGAAATAGTGTTGAGAGGTGAGACATTTAAGAGGTGATAGATCATGAAGGCTCTGCCCTCATGAAAGAACTAATGCTGTTTTTGCAGAAGTGGGTTTATCGTAAAGGAATGAGTTTTGATCCCTTCTTCTCACTCTCTCATGCTGTCTTTTTCTTACATCTTCCACCACGGGATGATGCAACAAGAAGGCCCTTACCAGATGCCAGCACCTTAATATTGAACTTCCCAGCCTGCAGAACTATGAGAAAAAAATATCTTTTCTTTGTAAATTACCTAGTTTGTGGTATTCTGTTATACCAATACAAAATTGACCATTTCCTGAGTCAGTTTGGTCAATTTTGAAAGTATGGATTTGATGCACAATATAATTACTAAGTTCTGATTTGAAAATTTTAGCTATCTCTGCACTGTAAAATATAACTCAACAGGGCACTTATTGTCAGCTACTCCGAGTGACAACTGCTAAGGATATTTATAAAAAATATGCTGCAAGTGTCCCTGCATGGGCCTATTTATCTGAAGGCATCCTGAAAAATGTTAATAATGAAATACGACTGTTTCATCTGAATCGAGTTTGCATAGTTTATTAGACATTGCAGAATATTTTATTGCAAAATGAAGTGTGATTGTCACTAATGTTATAACTGAGAGTGCTCTGGTTTAAAGTGTCTGATTCCCTTATCCCAGGATTGGGATTTGTTTTGTAATCTTTATGAAAAGAATAGCATTTTCATAAAATAAATTTAGCTAGATTTTCTTGCATTTGAGACAACCAATAGAGTACCATTTTTGATCCTTATAACATGAACGTGCAGAAAACACAATTGATAATTCTTTATTTGATGTGGAGTGTGCTTTTCCTACACAAAACATAATGTTTAGACATGCTAAAAGACCTTGAGAAGTATGAATAAATTTATTAATGCTTTCTTTTTAAAAAAGATCTTCCTCTCTAATAAAAAAAGTTTCTTTAGAAGATGTTATAAACTTGCATTTGACAAAGAAAATCTGAGCTAAGTTCAAAAGCTATTAAACATTTCTATTAAAATATAATGATCAAAGGAATGTGCATATATATGTTAAAAAATTTATATTGTAATGATGATAAGGAGAAAGATTCTAAGACAAAAAACAAAGCTATTAAGATTAAAATATGCCTGTTGGAAATCCTATTCAGGCCCACCTGAGGAAATAATGAGTATCATCAGACATACAGGTTCACATAATTTCACTCTTAGCTTAGGATATTTAGCCTATTAACAGAGAATACTTGTTAGAATGTATAAGTTCTTACAGCAAAAATTATATAGCATACATTTATGCATTAATTAATTTTCACTGAAGATGTGGAGCAGCAGCACCTTGCCTGATTTAAATATGAAACTTCTATTCTCTTGTATAAACGGTAAATGTTGCTTTATTAAGTTGATACTTAATTATATTTCTGGCAATGATGTTGCTTAAGCCAGCAAAGAAGATAGAGTTTTAATGTTCTCATCCCTGTTTGTATCCATGAACTGACAACCTTTGCCTAGCCAGAGGTTTAAGGATGTTTGAGAGAGTTGTATCCACAAGATACACACACAGGACATGCAAACAACTCTTGGGGAAATAAAAAGGGTATTTCCATCAGGGTAAAGAACAATTTAAACTCTTCAAAGGTAGTAAGTTAAATTATAATTAATTTACTACAAATTATACTTCTCTTTCTCTTCACTGCTCCCTTTGTTTGCCTGTGCCTTGTTTGTACATTTTTGCATAACCATTTCAAACAATATGAGTGCAAAAAATGGAAAATCAAAGTCTACTTCTCTAATACCTTAAACCCATCTTCTCACTCATGATTCAATACATGAACACTTCTTTTTCTTCTTCTTTTTTTTTTTTTTTTTTTTGAGACACAGTTGCACTCCTGTTGCCCAGGCTGGAGTGCAATGGTGTGATCTCAGCTCACTGCAACCTCCACCTCCCAGGTTCAAGTGATTCTCTTGCCTCAGCCTCCCAAGTAGCTGGGATTACAAGTGCATGCCACCATACCCGGCTAATTTTTCGTATTTTTAGTAGAGACAGGGTTTCGCCATGTTGGCCAGCCTGGTCTTGAAATCCTAACCTTGTGATCCACTTGCCTCGGCCTCCCAAAGTGTTGGGATTACAGGTGTGAGCCACTGCGCCCAGCCCTCTTTTTCTTATTACCAACTTTAAGCACTTTCTCTTTTTTGTTGTTGTTTTTTTTTTTGAGACAGGGTCTCACTGTGTCACCTAGGCTGCAGTGCAGTGGGGAGATCTTGTCCCATTGCAGCCTCGAATCCCTGGGCTCAAGTGATTCTCCCACCTCAGCCTCCTGAGTATCTCAGATTACAGGTGCCCGCCACCACGACAGGCTACTTTTTTTTTTTCTTTGTAGTAGAGACGGGATTTCACTGTTTTGCCCAGGCTGGTCTCAAAATCCCGGACTCAAGCAATCCACCTGCCTTGGCCTCCCAGAGTGCTACAATTACAGGTGAGAGCCAACGCACCCAGCCAGCAATGTCTTTTAATGTCCTGTTGGGAAAGACACAAAATTTACCTCAAAGTAGAATTCCTCAGAAACATACAATGCTTCATTGCCAACGACTAATATAAGTGACATTATTATTTTCAGCTGTTTTATTAGTAATTTCAATGACCTTAAATATCATATGTAACATCGTTTCTACTAACTCATTAAATTTAAGTAATATATGGTTTGTTTCCAGACTGAAAAGTGAAGAAATTTATCTGTTTATTGTTCTCTTCTACTCTACTTTACAACATTATCCCCCAGTCTCCATATACATATTTTTTATTTTAAATTATTTAAAATTATAGCACTTCCATTATCTTCCAAGATGCTTTGACTAGTGGCTAATGCCATAATTAAAAAGCAATAACCATTACTTGTAATATTATATATTTATTGTTCAAGAAACAATAAATGTGAATAAGCAGGTCCGGATGTGAGAAAATGTGCTTTTGAGTCCTTGGCCATTGTTTTGAGCTACTGTTACCTTCTTGCTAATTAATTTGATCATTTATTTCTCAAGGCTAGCTAGGTGCCTGAAATTTCTTCGGAAGGAACTCAATATTTTCCTTTATTTTCATTCTTGGGATTGTCGGGGGAGCCACAACCTCATTAGTGAAGCCTTTCAAACAATTCCAACTAAAGCGAACGCTGTCTTCTACTCTAGGAGCTGTCTATCACATAATAATGTTTTATTTTTCTCCATGGCAATTTAAAAACTGAAATTGTTTTTATTTTCAAAAATATTACCTGTATTACCTTTTTAAAATATACTGTATTATGGCAGGGAATTGCCCTCTAAATATCCCCAGAACCTTGAGTGAGTTCATAGAAAAATCAAGTGTATGCATTTTTTTTTTGGCATCACAGTGTGCTATCAATTAACAGGCAGCCCTACAAAGAAAAATAATAAATAAATAAACAATCTGGCGATCAGAGCACTTCTCTTTCTTTTGACAGATTAGAAGTTGACAAATAATTCAGGTCTAGTCAATAGAACAAAAGGGAAAGTTTACCCTAGGAGATCTGGAAAAATTTACCTCCTTCTCTGAAAGAGAATCAGGAGACATCTGGTTCTATGAGGCTGCAGTATACTCTTAAGCTGCCACATCCCTTCTGCAGACAGAAAAAATAGTTTACATGCTGTTATTAACTGGGCACAGAGTGTAAGAACTAATTTCTAATAGTTGAGCCACTGATTTATCAATTTACAGACACTTTCCTTCTGAGATTACTGTTTTCATAGTAATGTTAACCTTAGTACTTAAGCTTTTTAAAGTTTTCTTAATATTTAAGCTTCTTTTAGTTGGTCTTTTTGTTAATAGCAGCCCAAAGCATTATAACACATATAAACCTGTATCTCTGCTCCCCTTTTCAGCAAAAAAATTTAGACATATTGCATTCCTGTGTTATCTCTACTTTTAGTTTACTTATTTCTTACTTTTAGTTCACTTTTTAACATGATATAATCTGATTTTCGTCTTTCTACTCCAAAATCTACTTAGTAAATGATCATCAATGACCACCATGTTACCAATTCTAATGAAAAATATTGTATAAAAATTTGCATTGTAAATTTCAGAAGTTTTTTTTTTTTTTTTTTTTTTGAGACGTAGTTTCACTCTGGAGTGCAATGGCATGATCTCCGCTCACTGCAACTTCCACCTCCTGGGTTCAAGTGATTCTCCTGCCTCAGCCTCCTGAGTAGCTGGGATTACAGGCACCTGCCACCATACCAGGCTAATATTTTGTATTTTTTGTAGAGATAGGGTTTCGTCATGTTGGCCAGACTGGTCTTGAACTCCTGACCTCAGGTGATCCACCCGTCTCTGTCTCCCAAAATGCTGGGATTACAGGCATGAGCCACCACGCCCGACCAGAAGTTTTAAACCCAGAAAACTTACTTGCATTCTTGGCTTTCATAGGAATTCAATGAGTATTTAGCCTTTATCTCTTGTTCTGTATGCTTCTTTTCTATAAGTTTCAAAATTTATAGACATTTATAGAAATTAGGCATCCCTTATGGCTTCCTTTTTCACTTCTTAAATTCTAGTGTACTTTTTGTATTTCTTTCTATGATTATATATTATAATTTTACATGCTTGACACCAAATACATATCTGAAATTCTTACTTGAATATCTGCTTGGCAGGTTAATCTGGATGTTTAATAGAATCATATACTTAATAATTACAACACAACCTTTTGTTTCAACCTCCCATTTCAAATCTGGTCTTCTGCCTGAGTTTCCAGCAAATGGGATGGATTTCTATCTATGGGGTAATTGGAAAGAAGGAAAACTGAGGCTTATCCTTGACACATCCTATATATAAATTCCCCATTTTAAGTCCAACAGCAAACTTTGCCAGTGATACATCATTACTACTGTTGTCCTCTCTACTTTCCTCCATTTCCACTGTGAAAACCTTAGTTAAACCCACCAGGCATACATAATCTCTTACATGAGGAGTCAATGCCATGATGACTGTGAATAAAGCTGTTTAGACCAAACTTGAACTGTAATTGAAGAACAAACTGTACACTAAAAATATATATATAGTGTAACTGAAAGCGAAGGTTCAGCTGGGAGAATTACATTTTGGGGCTCATAAATGTAAACTGGGAAACACGAATAAAATGATGTTTTGTAATAGGAGCTGAACAGAAGATAATGAATAGGAAAAAATAAAAACAACACCCCAACCCTACAAATGCTAAAGTTAATCCCATGAGGGACCAAGGTAAGATACATTTATAAGGAAACAGACGTTATGAATAAACAGATGCTAAATAGTGAGAAAGATATAGCCATCCCTCAGTACCCATGTGGGATTAGTTCCAGAACTCTTGTGGATACCAAAATCCACAGATGCTCAAGTCCTTTTTATAAAATGCTATAGTATTTGCATATAAACTGCATAATCTTCCCATTTACTTTAAGAATGTCTGGATTACTTATAATACCAAATGCAATGTAAATGCTATATACATAGTTATGATGTGGTATTGATTTTATTGGTATTATTTTTATTGTAGTATTGTTCTTTTTCATTTTTATTTTTTCCTAATATTTTTATTGTGTTTGGTTGGATTCTCAGATGAAGAAGCCAGGAATATGAAGGGCTGACTATACATAACAGAATAAAAGACAATCTAATCAAAAGTAGAAGAGGAATAAAAAAAGTCAGTGAAGAAAAAAACCTGTGAAAAAGCAACATTATTTATAACAGACAGGAAGAGAGGATGCTTCATCTAATATAGCTTCAGTAAATCACCCTTTTTAAAGCAGGGATTTGATGAGTTAAATTGTTTGCGTATAGGCTAAAGATAATAATTATTGCCTAACTTGTTTTTTCAATGTAACTCTGGTTACATTGTTGAAGTAGTATGCTGAACAGATCAATAATTGTTACCAGTCTCTTCTCAAATGCTAATCCAATTTGCTATACTCTTTCCACATTATCACTTAGAAAGTGCTATTACCTAATCATTTAATTAGATACATTGAAGGTGGCATTAATTTGCTGGATATTTCAAATTAATAGCATATAATTATATAGCTGCATTTAAAATTAAGACATGTAAATTAGTTTTGATTTATCATTCTAAAATTGCTTAGTATCTTTAACATCAAACTTTCATTAAAATAATCCATGTTTAAAACTCAACAAATATTGAAAATCTCTTTGTGTGTGTGTTTGTGTGTCTACGTGCCGATGTTCAAACTCCTATGCATTAAAATCAGAACAATTGGCCGGGCGCGGTGGCTTACGCCTGTAATCCCAGCACTTCGGGAGGCCAAGGCAGGAGGATCACGAGATCAGGAGATCGAGACCATCTGGCTAACATGGTGAAACCCCGTCTCTACTAAAAATACAAAAAATTAGCCGGGGGTGGTGGCACGCACCTGTAGTCCCAGCTACTCGGGAGGCTGAGGCAGGAGAATTGCTTGAACCCAGGAGGTGGAGGCTGCAGTGAGCTGAGGTCGTGCCATTGCACTCCAGCCTGGGTGATGGAATGAGATTCCATCTCAAAAAAAAAAAAAAAAAGAAAAAAAAATCAGAACAATTATACTCAGGTTGGGTACATGGGAGTTGGGAATACTGGAATCAAAATTTTGAAACGTTGATAGTTTTAAATCTCAAGGTTCATATTTTTAAAATATTTTCTTCTGGTTATACTTGTAACAGAGTAAGGTGATAGCTTTTAAAGATGCTGCAATAATTTTAAGAATATTGGTGTATTTTTTGCTGTGCTTTATTGAGAATTATTGTGTGTGTGTGCTATGGTTTGACTGTCTCCTTTAAAAGTCATGTTGAAGTGTATTGTCATTGTGACAGTATCGACAGGTGGGATCCTTAAAGAAGTGATTAAGCCATGTGGGCTCTACTCTCCTGGGTGGGATTTGTGCCCTCATAAAAGGGCCAGTTGAACCCTCTCTTGCTCTCGCATTCCTCTGTCTTGTGAGAACAGCGTTCCTCTCTTCTGAAGGATGCAGTGTTCATTGCAGCATCTGAGAAGCGGAGACTGTTCATAAAAAAACAGTGTAACAGCACCTTGATCTTGAACTTTCCAGTCTCCATAGCTGTAAGAAATAAGCTTTTCTTATTTATGAATTACCCAGTCTGAAGTATTTTGTTATCGCAGAACAAAATGGACTATGACAACATGTATTATTTTCTAAGAATGTGTGATAGGAAACATATATTTTAAAGATATGTTCAATGACTTCTACATTGTAAATTCCTTCAAGAAATACATACACACTCTAGAGATTCATTAAGAAAAATTAGACTTCCAGTTTTTAGTTCAGCATGTAAAGAGCTTGGCATTCATTACTCTGTCCTAAATAGTGAAAGACTAAACAAATAAAAAATCAACAACTTTTTAAAAACCTATCAGTGAATTGAAGTCACAGGGCAAACTGCTGCCACAAATATTGGAAAGACAGACAAGCAGGCAAAGGGAACAGCAATTTACCGGAGCAAATCCTATAAGTAGAAACCTGCATAGGAACCAATACTGGAGTAGGAAAACCTAAACTGTAATTGATAAATTTCTAGAAGTTCACTGTGGACAAGTCTGAGAGTCAAAATCTCCAGGGGGATCCATTCATGGAGGAGGACACTTTTGTAAGCTTTACCTCCAGGAGCCCTACCGTGTTCTCACAGTGAAGATCAGAGAAAAATCTCCTCATGTTTCCTGTGGAGGGAGAGGAAATGCAGACATTTCAAAATATGCCCAAAGTATCTTATTCTTAACACAGTCTACCCTCAAAAGAAACTATTTTACCAAATCCCAAGATACTGAGGTTTTATCAGAACTTGACCAACTTAGCAGAAGGGAAATACTCTATGCTAGCCTGCTCTAACTTGTCATGTGGGAGACGGGAAATACCCAACTCCCATCCCTACTAGACATCCTTTTTCACCTAAGACTAGGGTTGGGCTGGGTGGAGGATTGAGTGGTGATTGTACAGGCTGATTAAAATCCTGAGTCCCAATCATAGGACTATAGAATGCTTCCCCTGCCCTCACACCTTACCACCACATGACTAAAGGCCTATCCAGCAGAGTTTGTTTTATGTGGTATATCATTTTCAACCTTTAACCAAAAATTACAAGGCATAGTAAAAGGTAAACATGCACACACACACACACACACAGTATGAAGTGAAAGAGCAAACATTAGAACCAGACACAGATATGACAGGAATGTTGGAATTATCAGACTGAGAATTTAAATAACTAGTATTAATGTGCCAAAAGCTCTACAGAAAAAGTAGACAGCATGCAAAACATAGGGGTAGTGCAATAAGAGAGATGGAAATTCTAAGGAAGAATTAAATAGAAGTAAGAAGAATTAAAAAGAATGTAACAAATGAAGAATGCCTTTGATGGGTTCATTAGTAGACTAGACACTGCTAAGAGTAAAAATATAAACTTGAGCATGTGTCAATGGAAACCTCCAAAACAGAGAAGGAAAAAATACTAAAAAAATCAGAATGGAATAGTCAAGAATTGTGGGATGACCATGAAAAATATAACATATATATAAAATGGGAATAAAGAAAAACGAAGAAGAAATATTTGAAGCAATAATGTCTGAAAAATTCCAAAAATTAATGGCACCAATTTAAAAAGGTTATAAGAGCAGCTCAAAAAGAAGATGCTACATTTTCTGCAAGAAATTCTCTTCAAATATAAAGACACCTGCAAAGGTCTAATGTTCAGAATCTACAAGGAACTTAAACAAATTTACAAGAAAAAAACAACCCCATCAAAAAGTGGGCAAAGGACAGGAACAGACACTTCTCAAAAGAAGACGTTTATGCAGCCAACAAACATGTGAAAAAAAGCTCAACATCACTGATCATCAGAGAAATGCAAATCAAAACCAAAATGCGATACCATCTCATGTCAGTCAGAGTGGTGATTATTAAAAAGTCAAGGAACAAGAGATGCTAGTGAGGCTGTGGAGAAATAGAAAGACTTTTACACTATTGGTGGGAATGTAAATTAGATCAACCATTGTGGAACACAGTGTGATAATTCCTCTAAGATCTAGAACCAGAAACACCATTTGACCCAGCAATCCCATTACTGGGTATATATCCAAAGAAATAGAAATCATTCTCTTATATAGATACATGCACATGTATGTTAATTGCAGCTCTATTCACAATAGCAAAGACATGGAATTAACCCCCATGCTCACCAATTATAGACTGGATAAATAAAATGTGGTACATATACACTACGGAATACTATGCAGTCATAAAAAGGAATGAGCTCATGTATTTTGCAGGGACATGAATGAAGCTGGAAGCCATTATCCTCAGCAAACTAACACAGGAACAGAAAACCAAACACCACATCTTCTCACTTACAACTGGGAGCTGAACAATGAGAACACATGGACACAGGGACAGAAACAACACTCACACAGTGTCCTTTTGTTGGGGGAGGCAGAGGAAGGGAAAGCATTAAGATAAATAGCTAATGCATTCAGGGCTTGATACCTAGGTGATGGGTTGATAGGTGCAGAAAACCACCATGACACATGTTTACCTGTGTAAGAAACCTGCACATGTATCCTTGAACTTAAAATTAAATTAAATTTTAAAAATGCCAAGAAAAGTTGTGTGTTGACTATGAAAAGTGTAACATATGCATGATGGGAATAGAGAAAAACAAAGAAGAAATTTTGGAAGCAATAAGGTCTAAAAGTTTCCCAAAATTAATGGCACCAATTAAAAAACAGATTGTCAGAGTGGCTCAAAAAGAAGATAATATATTTTCTTCAGGAAATCTTCTTTAAATATAAAGACACATACAGATTAAAAATATATATAGAAAGATGTACCGTACTATTACTAAAAATAAAGCAGAAGAAGTTTTATTAATTTCAGGCAGATTACACTTCAGAATAAGGAAAAGGGACATATCATAATAAAAGGGTAAATTCTCCTAGAAGACAACAATCATTCATGTGCATGGACCTAACAGAGAGTAAAAATGCATGAGGTGAAATCTGGTAGAGCTACAAGGAGAAATAGATGAATTCATTATTGGAGAATTCAACACCCTTTTCTAAAAAATAGAAACAGCCATCAGCTAGAAAATCAGTACCAGATATAGTTGAAATCTACAGATTACTTAATTAAATAAGAGTGGAACACACATTCTTCTCTAACTTACGTGGAACTTTCACCAAGATAGGCCACATTCTAGGCCATAAAGAAAACCATAACAAATTTAAAAGAAAAAAATCATGCAGTGTATGTTCTCAGATCACAATGGAATTAAACAAGAAATCAATAACAGAAAGATAACTGGAACATCCCCAAATACTTAGAAAGCACACAACGCCCTTCTAAATTGTACATAGATCAAAACAGAAACTCAAGAGAGACTTAAATATTTTGAACTAAATGAAAATCAAAGTAAAATTTTACAGGTTTTGAGTGATGTAGCAAAAGCAATGCTTAGAGGAAAATCTATAGCATCAAATGCATATATTAAAGAAAAAATAAAATCAATAATGTATTCTTGCAGCATAGGAAACTAGAAAAAGATAGCAAATTTAATTCAAAGACAGCAAAATTAAATTGAAATCAAAAATTGATAGGGAAAATCAACAAAACAAAAAACTGGTTTTTGCAAAGATCAATAAAGTCAGTAAGCCTCCTGCCAGGCTAACTGTGAAAAAACATAGAGAAGACACAAGTGACTAATATTAAACATGAAATGAGATACATCACTACAGATCCCATGGATATTGAAAGAAGGGTAATAGAATAATATTATGAACAACTAGGTGCTCACAAATTTGAGAATCTAGATAAAATGGACCTATTCTTTGAAAAACACAATGTACAAAAATACACAAGAAGAAATAGAAAATTTTAAAAAGCCTGTAACTATTAACTAAATTTAATCAACAATTAGCAATCTTCCAGAAGTACCATCCTGAGGGGTTCACTAGCGAATTATAATAAACACTTAAGATAAAAATTATACCAATTCTTTACAATTTATTCCAGAAGATAGAAGCCAAATGAATGCTTACTAATTCTGAGGCCAGCATTACCCTAGTAACCAAAACTAGACAAAAGCAGTATAAGAAAACTACAGATCAATATATCTCATGAATATTGATGCAAAAGTTGTCCAAAAAATTAGAAGATCAAATTCAACAACGTATAAAATGAATTACATACCATGATGAAGTGAAATTTATTTCAGACATACAAGGTGGTTGAACATTCAAAAATCAGTTAATCTAAACTATTACAGGAACACACCAAAAAACAGGAAAAACTGATAATTCTTATCTATAGATGCAGAAAAATATCTGAAAGATTTCAACATTCGTTAATAATAAGAACACCTAGCAAACTAGAAATAGATATATACTAATACAATGTTCTTCAACTTGTATTTGTCCATTCTCACATCACTATGCAGAACTACCCAAGACAGGGCAATTTATAAAGGAAAGAGTTTTAATTGATTCACAGTTCTGCAGGCTGTACAGGAAGTGTGGCTGGGGAGGCCTCAGGAAACTTACAATCATATCAGAAGGTGAAGTGAAAAAAGGCACATCTTATGTGGCTGGAGAAGGAGGAAGCAAGTGAAGGGGGAAGTGCTACACACTTTTAAACAACCAGATCTTGTGAGAACTCACTCACTATCATGACAGCAGCAAATGGAATATCTGCCCCCATGATCCAATCACCTCACACTGGATGTCTCCTCCAACATCGAGGATTATAATTTAACATGAGATTTGGGTGGGGAAACATCATATCAAACATCTGCAAAACACCTACAACTAATATTATAGTTAGTAGTGAGAAACTCATAGCTTTCCTGCTAAGATCAGGAAAGAGGCAAAGATACCCCTTCTTACCATTTCTTTTCAATAACTACTGGAAGTATTAGCTATCTAACAAGAAAAGGAAGAAAAAGAACAAAAGGTATACAGACTTGGAAGAAAGAAAACTGTCTTTGTTTGCAGGTGACATGATTATCTATGTAGAAAATCTGAAGAAATCAACGGGGAGGTTTTAGGATACAAGGTTAATATACAAAAGCCAGTTACTTTCCACTATACTAGAAATGAACAAGTGGAATGTGAGGGTAAAATACCATTTACACAATGTTATTTACACACAAAAATGAAATACTCGTTACAAATCAAACTCTGTATGCAAGATACACATGAAGTAAACTATAAAACTGTGAGAAAACATATCAAAGAATAACTAAATAAATGCAGAGGTATTTTATGTTAGTGTATAGGAAGACTCAATATTATCAAAATAACACTTATTTCTAACTTGATCTATAGAGTCAATGCGATCCCAATCAAAGTCATAGCAAGTTATTTTGTGGATACTGACAATCTAACTCTGCATGCACCAACAAAACACCCAGAATAGAAAACATAGTAGTGAAGGAGAGAGATACATTTGAAAGACAGATACTATCCAACTTCAAGACTCACAATAAAGCTACATTAATCAAAAACAAATGCCATTAGTAAAAGAGTAGACAAAGGCACAATCCATGAAAGAAACATTAGATAAGCTAGACTTCATTAAAATTAAAACTCCTGTTCTGTGAAAGATACCCTCAAGAAAATGTGAAGACAAGCCACAGAGTGAAACAAAATATTTTGAAAATGCATGTCTGATAAAGGACTATTTTTTAAAATATACAAAGCACTATCAATAAGAAAATGAACAACCCAATTTAAAAATTGGCAAAGGACTTGGACACTTCACCAAAGAAGATGTACAGATGGCAAGTAAGCACAGGAAAATTGCTCCATATTTTCATTTCATTTATTTAATAATTGAAAATTAAAGCAGGAGATACTACTATTACAACTATAAGAATGGCAAAAATTCAAAACGCTGAGAACTTCAAATGATGGCAAAGGTGGGGAGTAACAGAAACTCACAATAATTGCTGGTAGGAATGAAAAATATTACAGCCACTTTTGAAGACACTTTGGCAGTCTCTTACAAAAGTAAACATATTCTTACTGATTATCCAGGAATCACACTCCTTGATATTTACCTAAATAGGTGGAACATTTATGTTTCCACAAAAACTTGCACACAGATGTTTATACAAGCTTTATTCATAACTGCCAAAACTTAAGAAGCAACCTAGATGTTGAGTTGGTACATGTACAATAAACTGTTCATTCAGAAAATGGAGTATTATTCAGCACTAAAAAGAAATAAGCTATCAAGTCACGAAAAGACATGGAGGAAATTTAAATGCATATTACTAAGTGAAAGAAGCCAATTTGAAAAAAAATGATAGCTGCAAGGAGTTAGAGGGAAGAGAGTGATAGACAGTGCACAGAGGAATTTTAGCACTGTGGAAATATTCTGCATGATTCTATAATGGGGGTTACATGTCATTAAACATTTGTCATAACCCATAGAATACACATCACCTGGAGTGTACCATAATATAAACTGTGGACTGCAGGTAATGATATGTTTGTTCTTTTGTAACATACACAACATAACATACACAAGTGTATCATTACCTGCAGTCTATAGTTTATATTATGGTATACTCCGGGTGTTGTGTATTTTTAACATAAGTAACAAGTGTGTATTATATTTGTAACAAGTGCATCACTCTGGCGTGAACGTTGATAGTGAGAAAGGCTGGAGGGGAAGGGAGAGGGGAAATTAGTGAACTGTCTGTACTTTCTGCTTCATAGTGCAGTGAACCTATAACTGCTCTAAAAAGTGAAATCTATTTTTTAAAATATTTTCTATGTTGCTTCCTCAGATTTTACTTAGAAATGAATAATATAATGGAATGGAATATTGTTAAGCATATGTGATAGAGGAATTGTGAGATGATCAAAGTAATCTCACTTCTTTAAAAAGACTGTCCTTTCATTAGAATTTGTACGTGTAAATAGTCTTAGTTTTCTTCACAAAAGCAAAAATATTATTAGATGCTGCAGATTTTTTATATGGATTGTTTTCTTGTTTCTTTTGTCTATGTAGAAACAAAACAAGAATAAAATAGGTATGTATAATAAATGTCTATTGCATATTTACAACAATGTGTGATAGTTATATATTTTCATATTGCTTTAATTCATTAAAACCGGCAATGAAGTAGTAATTTGTTAGAGTTTAAGAAAATGGGAAAAATTGCTCAATTCATTAGAAGAGAAATTTTGTAAAACCTAGAAATGAAAATATAAAAATATTAATAATCTCTAAAATATAATATTAATATTATGTATGTATACATGTAGCTCTGATATGGTTTGGCTGTGTCCCCACCCAAATCTCATCTTGAATTCTCAGATGTGGGATGGACCTGGTGAAAGGTAACTGAATCATGGGGAGTGGTCTTTCTTGTGTTTTTCTCATGACAGTGAATAAGTCTCACAAGATCTGATTGATTTATAAGGCAGAGATTCCCTGCACAAGCTCAATCTCTCTCTTTGCCTGCTGCCATCCATGTAAGAAGTGACTTGCTCCTCCTTGCCTTCCACCATGACTGTGAGGCTTCTCCAGCCACATGGAGCTCTAAGTCCATTAAAGCTCTTTCTTTTTTAAATTGCCCATTCTCAGGTATGTTTTTATTGGCAGCGTGAAAACAAACTGATACGGTAAATTGGTAACAGTAGAGTGAGACACTGCTGAAAAGCTACCCAAAAATGTGGAAGTGACTTCAGAAGTGGACAATTGACAGAGGTTGGAACAGATTGGAGGGCTCAGAAGAAGACAGGAAAATGTGGGAAGTCCCTAAAGACTTGTTGAATGGCTTTGCCCTAATGCTGATAGGGATACGGAGCATAAAGTCCAGGCTGAGGTGGTCTCAGATGGAAATGAGGAACATTTTGATAACTGGAGCAAAGGGGATGGGACTCTTGTTATGTTTTAGCAACAAGACTGGCGGCATTTTGCCCCTGCCCTAGAGATTTGTGAAACTTTGAACTTGAGAGAGGTAATTTAGGTTATCTGGCAGAAGAAATTTCTAAGCAGCAAAGCATTCAAGAGGTGACTCAGGTGCTGTTAAAGACATTCCGTTTATAAAGGAAGCAGAGCATAGAAGTTCAGAAAATTTGAAGCCAGACAATGAGATAGAAAAGAAAATCCCATTTTCTGAGGAGAAATTCAAGCGGGCTGCAGATATTTGCATAAGTAATGAGGAGCCAAATGTTAATCCCCAAGACAATTGGGAAAATGTCTTCAGGGCATGTCAGAAATCTGGGCATCCCCTCCCATCACAGGCCCAGAGGCCTAGGTAGAAAAAGTAGATTCATGAGCTGGGCCCAGGATCCTGTGCCATGTGGAGCCTAGGTGCTTGGTGCCCAGTGTCCCAGCCGCAGCAGCCATGGCTCAAAGAGGCCAACATAGACCTCAGACCATGGCTCAGAGGGTACAAGCCTCAAGTCTTGGAGGCTTCCACATGGTGTCCAGCATGTCAGTGCATAGAAGTCAAATATTGGGGTTTGGGAACCTCCACCTAGATTTCAGAGGATGTATGGAAAAACCTGGATGTCCAGGCAGAAATTTGCTGCAGAAGTGGGGCCCTTTATGGAGAACCTCTCCTTGGGCAGTGCAGAAGGGAAATGTAGGTTTGGCGGTCCCACACAGAGTCCCTACTGGGACACTGCCTAGTGGATCTGTGAGAAGAGGGCCACTGTCTTCCAGACCCCAGAATGCTATGTACACTGACAGCTTGCACCATGTGCCTGGAAAAGCCACAGACACTCAACACCAGCCTGTGAAAGCAGCTGGGAGGGAGGCTGTTCCCTGCAAAGCCACAGGGGTGGAGCTGTTCAAGACCATGGGAACCCACCTCTTGCATCAGCATGACCTGAATGTGAGACATAAAGTCAAAGGACACCATTTTGTAGCTTTAAGATTTGACTGTCCCGCTGGATTTCGGACTTGCATGGGGCCTGCAACCCCTTTGTCTTGGCCAATTTCTCTCATTTGGAATGGCTTTATTTGACCAATGGCCATACTCCCATTGTATTTAGGAAGTAACCAATTTACTTTTGACTTTACAGGCTCATAGACAGAGGAGACTTGCCTTGTCTCAACTGAGACTTTGGACTGTGGACTTTTGAATTAATGCTCAAATAAGTTAAGACATTGGGAGACTGTTGTGAAGGCATGATTGATTTTGAATTGTGATGACATAAGATTTGGGAGAGGCAAGGGGCAGAATAATATGGTTTGGCTGTGTCCCCACCCAAATCTCATCTTGAATTCCCATGTGTTGTGGTAGGGACCCAGTGGGAGATAATTGAATCATGGGGGAGGGTCTTTCCCATACCGTTCTCATGATAGTGAATAAGTCTCACAAGATCTGATGGCTTTATGTGATGGTGTTTCCCTGAACAAGCTTTCTCTTTCTCTTTTCCTGCTGCCATTCATGTAAGACATGACTTGCTCCTCCTTGCCTTCTGCTGTAATTGTGAGGCTTCCCCAACCATGTGGAATTGTAAGTCCATTAAACCTCCTTGTTTTGTAAATTGCCCAGTTTTGGGTATGTCTTTATCAGTGGCATGACAGCAGACTAATACAAGGTCTTAAATCAAATGTCATGCAAACATAAAAATAATAATAAAACAAAAACATAGTTTCACCCAGTATTCCATGCATAAAATGATTTAATATCAGGCAAAAAATAATGTTAATAATGATAGCAGCAACCATGGGCAATAGCAGTTACAGCTTTGCCATATGCAAGCTCTATTCCTAGCACTTTTCTATATTTTTTATTTTTATAGTTAAAAATTTTGTGGTTACATAGTAGGTGTATGTATTTCTGGGGAACTCATGGGCATAAAGGGTACAAGAATGGTTACAGGAGGCTGGAAAGAGTATTGGGGGCCCTTATAATTTTCAATAATATCTCATTTGATCCCCACAATCACTCAGGATAATTTTAATCTTTATTTTCCAAGAGAAATTGAGACTTGGGGAAGTTAAAAATGTACTGGTTACACACAGGTACATAACCAAAGTTAGAATTCTAGAGGAAGAACTCTAGTGATTATTATATGCTAAGTACTGGGATAGATACATGGGATATACTAAATAAAGGCAAACAACAGATTTGAAGATAAATATTTTTTTCACAATTCCTATTTTACATAGAATAACAGAGAACATAGTTTACTATGTTTTATAAGAAATACATAGAGCATTAGGATGTAGAGACAGACAATGATAATTTTATACAATTTATTTGTATGAATATGTATGTTTAAATACATTTTAAAATTTTTAGAATATGTTTATAACACACATTTTAATTACTTATAAAAATGTACGTTTCCTTAACACCTTATAAAATTACTAAGAACCAATATCTGACATTCTTCATGAAGAAACAGAGTCACATACACTAAAATTAGCAATTCACAGGATTTTCATTATTCCTCTCATTTTAAAATTCTCTAAATGTTAAATACAATGCAGTCAGAATGTAAACACAAAATAATAGAGAAAAATAACATTGGATTGAAGGAGAATGGAATATATAATTGAGCCTGCATGGTCACACGGAAAATTCTAAGCATTAAGTAAAGCCTCTGAGCAATAGTGGGCATGCTTGGGTAGTGTTTATTGTATAGGACTGGAAGTGTGTCTGGAAAAATAGTCTGTTTGTCCAAAAATATGACAAAATGAATTTTGGTGAGCAACATATTTCTACCCTAATAGTAATAACACTTTAAAATATTGTATGGGAAAATGTTTTTTTTAAATCTGAAAGTTTAAGAGGAGTCTCAAAAAAAGAAATGTGCAAGAAAAAACACACACACACACAAAAACTGTACAACTTTGCTTAGAAATTAAAATATAGTTGCAAATATGTGAAAATATATATCATTTTCCTTAAAGAAATAATTTAATTTTGAGAAGACTTTTAGTCTTTTCTTCAAAAAGTTATTGGTCAATTTAAGGACATTCCAATAAAATACCTTAGGAAATTTTAATTAAGTGGTAGAATAATTTTTAGTTCATCTGGAAATATACTAAAAAAATTATACAATTTGCGTATTCATCCAGATGAACTAAAAAATTATATAATTTATTATACAATTTGAGTTTTTTTTTAATTTTGATACTTATGTTAATCCAGTTTGACCATTGGGAATTCCATTTATGTTGATTTCTGTGATCTTTCGACAAGTCCTCGTCATTCTTTGAGCACTTTGGCACTACAAGGTGTTCAAGTTTATCTTATACTTTCCTACTTAGCTCTGGAATCAGTTACTTCTGGTTCTCTTAAGTGGAAAATGGAACTTAGAAGCCAAGACCTGGGCCTTAGAAAGACTCATTGCTATTGGGATGCCAATGATCCCAGGCAATTTAATGCATGGTGCTAAATATATACATGCATGTATTTACGTATGTATACATGAGAGTGTTTGAGCCTACATATACATACATTAACATCCATATTTATGTTTATACCTATATATATTTTTTGACAGTTTCCATATTTTTTATTTTTTATTATACTGTAACTTCTGTGATACATGTGCAGGACGTGCCGATTTGTTACATAGGTACACACGTGCCATGGTGGTTTGCTGCACCCATCAACCGGTTGTCTACATTAGGTATTTCTGCTAATGCTTTCTCCCCTTGCCCTGACCCCCAAAAGGCCCCCAGTGTGTGATGTTCCCCTCCCTGTGCTCATATGTTCTCATTGTTAAACACCCACTTATGAGTGAGAACATGCGGTGTTTGGTTTTCTTTTCCTGTGTTAGTTTGCTGAAAATGATGGTTTCCAGCTAAATCTGGGTCCCTGCAAAGGACATGAACTCATTCTTTTTTGTGGCTGCATAGTATTCCATGGTGCATATTTGTCACATTTTCTTTATCCAGTCTAACATTGATGGCATTTGGGTTGGTTCCAAGTCTTTGCTATTGTGAATAGTGCTGCAATAAACGTACGTGTGCATGTGTCTTTTTAGTAGAATGATTTATAATCCTTTGGGTGTATACCCAGCAATGGGATTTCTGGGTCAAATGGTATTTCTAGCTCTAGATCCTTGAGGAATCGCCACACTCTCTTCCACGATGGTTGAGCTAATTACACTCACACCAACAGTGTAAAAGCAACACAGGGAAGCCCATCAGACTAACAGTGGATCTCTCTGCAGAAACCCTGAAAGCCAGAAGAGAGTGGGGGCCAATATTCAACATTCTTAAAGAAAAGAATTTTCAACCCAGAATTTCATACCTAAGCTTCGTAAGTGAAGAGGAAATAAAATCCTTTACAGACAAGCAAATGCTGAGGGATTTTGTTACCACCAGACCTGCCTTACAAGAGCTCCTGAAGGAAGTACTAAATATGAAAAGGAAAAACCGGTACCAGCCTCTGCAAAAACAAACCAAAATGTAAAGACCATAGACACTATGAAGAAACTGCATCAACTAACGGGCAAAATAACTAGCTAGCATCATAATGACAGGATCAAATTCACACGTAACAATGTTAACCTTAAATGTAAGCTGGCTAAATGCCCTAATTAAAAGGCACAGACTGGCAAATTGGATATAGAGTCAAGATCCATCAGTGTGCTGTATTCAGGAGACACATCTCACGTGCAAAGATACACATAGTCTCAAAATAAAGGGATGGAGGAAGATTTACCAGTCAAATGGAAAGCAAAAAAAAAAAAAAAAAAAGGTAGGGGTTGCAATCCTAGTCTCTGATAAAACAGACTTTAAAGCAACAAAGATCAAAAAAGACAAAAGGGCATTACATAATGGTAAATGGATCATTGCAACAAGAGGAGCTAACTATCCTAAATATATATGCACCAATACAGGAGCACCCAGATTCATAAAGCAAGTTCTTAGAGACCTACAAAGAGAGGTAGAGGTACAAAGAGGAACTGGTACCATTCCTTCTGAAACTAACTATTCCAAACAATAGAAAAAGAGGGATTCCTCCCTAACTCATTTTATTAGGTCAGCATCATCCTGATACCAAAATCTGGCAGAGACACCACAGAAAAAGAAAATTTCAGGCCAATATCCCTGATGAACATCAACGTGAAAATCCCCAGTAAAATACTGGCGGACCAAATCCAGCAGCACATTAAAAGCTTATCCACCATGATCAAGTCACCTTCACCCCTGGGATGCAAGGCTGGTTCAACATATGCAAATCAATAAACATAATCCATCACACAAACAGAACAGGTCATTTTAGGCAAGGCACTGATGACTTCCCTTGTCTGTAGGCAGAAGATTGCTGGAGGGACAAGATTTCATTCTGTGTGAGTTTGAATGGGTGGAGATAGGTCTGATAAACAGGCCAAGCATCTCCTGGTAATATTACCTTCCTGAAGCTTCAGGGAAATTTCTATCAGATTCATACTTGGGAACCAATGTTAAAACCAAGAGCAGTTGGTTGATCCTGCAATTTTCCATGCACCTGTGTGGTTCTCTGCACAGACTGCCTGATCTGCAGAGCTGCATCTGGTACAGAGGTGACATGACTGATGGGCTTCTGTTGCTTAGGAACTAAGTGGCACAAGTCTCCATCTTCCTTCATTGTTATCTGCTTAATGGTCCTCATGACAGGCTCTTATTTATAATACAATGACAGAAACAAGCTGTGGGAAACATTTGCCCATCACTCCCATCCCCCAACTCTTCCCCACTTTCCAGTGAAAGTCTCTGGGTCAGAGTGTGCTGAGAGATAAAAAGGTGGGTTAGAGGAAAATATGCTGTAAGGACCTAATGGGATCTCTCATAAACCCCTTTCTCATTCCAATTTCCAGCTTCCCTGTTTTTTTTAAACAATCAGAGTATTTAAGTCACAAAATGCTAGTTCAACAAAGTTTTGACTGCTGTATGTCAAGAAAGTACCTGGTTAGTTTCCACATCTAATTATTATGTAATTATGTAAATTATATCATAATTTAAATAATTATTCTCCTTTACCTATGGATGTCTAGACAGGAACACAGAGACAATTTTCTTCTCTTTTGAAGCTCAATATAAATGACACACAGTCGCAACAATGTCTCACTTCCTTTGGGTGTGGGGTAGAAAGTGATGGAGGCAGTTTATTGAACTCTTACCACATAGCATAGAATAAATTCTTTGCAAACAAGTTTGGGCTGATTTCACTATTGCCACTTCATTATTATTCCGTATTTATGTTTATTTCTATTTTAGCCAGAGGTCATTTCATCAGCCCACCACTAGTTAGTCTATACAACACCTTTATATACATTTCAAATATATATATGTAAAATTTTCCCGGTGGAGGTGCAGAGTTCATGGCCTCCCCCAGTGGTAGTACCAAGTCCTATAGCACAGAGCCCAAATTCAGTTCCCAAATTGCTTGGTTAAATTCACTCAGGTCAAGTACAAACTTTAGAAAGGCTTTGGTGGCTGTGACTATAGCTACAAAACATACAGCTCCACTAAATTTTCAAATTTAAAAAATTAATAAAATTATAATGTAATTTTTTAAAAATATATATATTTATTGTGTACAAATGGTTCAAAATATGTATGCAGTGTGGAATGGCTAAATTGAGCTAATGAAAATACACATTACCTCACATTATATATATTTTTGTTGTGGGAACACTTAAAATTGCATAAAATCTCTAAATGCAACTTTATAATAATTAATTTAATCCATACATTTATACTTGATATTCCTTTCCACATATACATTATATTTTACAATACAATGTGCAAATATTAAATATATACACATTAAGATACTCTGGATCTGTTTGTCTTTCTTCTACCTTTTTTTCCCCTCAAAAAGGCATATACATCTGCATAATGATTAAGAAAAAATAAATACCATAGTCGTTTGTTGAGATTTCAGATATGTTATTCACGAATTTATATGGTTAGTGACTAAGAGATATCATCATTGATACTGAGGATTTCTAAGTGTAAAGCAGCAAAAGAAAATTGAATTAGATATGACAAAGTGTATGGAAGTAAGTGTTATTTGAAGCATATCTTTTTAATAAAATCTGAAGGTCACTTCATATAATATTTATTTTGTTCAAACGAAGCACAGTGCTAGAAATGCATTTGAAAAATAGGCAACATTAATTAGGAAAAAAAGTTAAAACAGACCAAAGTAAGTAAAAAGATAATGAGAAATCGCATAAAAATGAGATACAGGAATAAGAGAAACACCTTAAGAGAAATTTAAATGTGAGAAAATAACTATCTCTATCTGTCTCTGTCTTTCTCAAGGCCTAGGTGGTCTCTAGACCATGGCTTTCTCTGTCTTCATTTAAAAGGAAAAAATACCTTGGCAATTAAAGAACATGGTTTGCTGTTTCCTCATGGGCTCCATTCTGTTGTAAATTTACCTTTCCTGAAAATCTGAATGGACAGTGTACTCATTCTGGGCTCTATATGACATTGAATTTGTGCCGAGGGCATCTAGTTCTATACCACGTAATTACTCTGTGGATCCGTTCAGGGTGAGCTGATAGCGAGGGCAAACTCTAGGAAAGAGAAAGAGAAGATTACTGTACAAGCATGCAAAAGCATGATTATTTCTACTATATGCAAAATTAAGGTGTGCAGAATAATGATACAGTAAACTAAATTAAGCCACTAATAAATTACATGGCAACATAATTACCTTATATATAACAATAAAAGTTTAATATTCTTGTATATAAATGTTCATATATTAATATTTCTTAATACATAAATGTTCTATAAATCAATGAGAAGGATAACAGACATATAGAAATAACAGAAATATAAAAAATGGTCAAAATACTCAAAACAAAATAATCAAATATTTATCTCAAGCTGATAAAGTATATGGCTTCATCAATAATAAAGCCAGTTAATGAAACCAGTGCCAGTTAAAACACTAGACAATTGCTGCCTAATGATTGACCAGCCTGTGTTGGTGAAGTTATGGATAAACAGAAACTTACATATTTCTAATAGACGTGTGTATTGTTACTATACTCTAGAGCTAATTTGGCAATATATATGATATATTTGATGAATATTAACATTATTTAAACTATGAATATTATAAATCTATCCAGAGGAAATAAAAAATACTCTCAAATATTGGCGTGCTCTTTCAGCATGTATTTTGGAAATCATAACCTACCCTATATACAGTTCAACACCTCTGGAATTAATGTAAAAGAGCTATGTATGAAATGTGTTATGTTGGGGTGTAATACAAGATCAGAGGGCAAAAAAAAGATTTTTCAAAAAATTAGGTTGGGGAAACTGGTTATTTAATTTTGAAATAAACAGATAAATGCATTTTTGCTTTTTATATCATATAATTTTGAACAGTATCAAAGTTTTAAAAGTAAAATTTAATGTAAAGGTTACATAGAAAACACAGAAGGTAATTTTTAAATGAGAATGCTTTTCTAGACTGGGTGGGGTGGCTCATGCCTGTAATCCCAGCAATCTGGGAGGCTGAAGCGGGCAGATCACCTAAGTTCGGGAATCTGAGACCAGCCTGGCTAACATGGTGAAACCCTGTCTCTACTAAAAATACAAGAAAATTAGCCAGGCATGGTGGCACTCATGCCAGTAACCCCAGGTACTTAGGAGGCTGAGGCAGAAGAATCGCTTGAACTCAGGAGATGGAGGTTGCAGTAAGCCAAGATCCACGCCACTGAACTCCAGCCTGAGTGGCAACGGAGCAAGACTCCATCTCAAAAATAAATAAATTAATTAATTAATGAAAAAGATAATGCTTTCCTAATCAAGGCATAAATCTTATAAGCAAAAAATAATGAGATTAAGAAATCTTAATAAAATTAACACTTTTGTTTATTTTATAACTTTAAAATGCCAGGAAAAATATACACATAGCATAAAAATTTTCTTAATATTAAACAATTTTAATGATCAATGGGAAAAATTGTAATAAGGCAGAAAATGATGAACTAATTATGTCAACAGATGATACACAGTAAGAAAGCATAAATGACAAGCATATAAAAATATATTCTATCTCTTTGGTGATACTGAAAATGCCAAATAAAACAGTAAGATTAAATTTCTCATATATTTCATTAGCGATAGTTAATAAAGATGATATACACAATGTCAATTGAAGTGTGAGAAAATATTTCTTATAGACTGCTGGCGAGAAGATACTTGTATATCCGGTTCAGATTTAAATTGGGCACAGTGAGACTTCTGTCTCCAGCCACTATGGAGTAACTTGAATCAGATTTGTCCTCTTCCTGCAAGCCAAAAGAAAACTGTACAAAACATATAAAACAATTTTTTGTCAGATCTTGGATATTTGTGCAGCATTCTGGTCAATGTTAAAAAAAAATGAGATGATTACCACAAACTGGGTGACATAAAACAACAGTGAATTATTCTCTCAGAGTTTTGGAGGCTGTAAGCCCAGGAGCATAAAGAACCCTCCATTGCCTCTTTCTCTCTTTTGTTCCCAGATATTCCTGGTTACTGTTGGTTGCTGGCTGTCCTTGGCATTCCTTGGCTTGTAGCAGCCTAATTCCAGTTTCTGCCTCCAGCTTCTCTGTGTGTATGTTTGCGTCTCTGTTCGTCCTCTCTTCACCTTATGAAGACATTGGTCATATTGAATTTAGGGTCATCTGTTGTCCGATGCAACTGAATCTTACTAATTACTTCTGGAAATACCCTATTTTCAAGTAAAGCCACACTCTAAGGTTATAGGTTGTTATAGACTGACTGTGTCCTTCCCCTGCCCACCAAATTCATATGTGACTGTATTTGGAGACAGAGCCTTTTTGAGGTAATTAGGTTAAATTAGCTCATGGGGGTGGGACCTTGATACAATAGGATTAGTGTCCTTTTAAGAACAGACACCAGAGAGCTCAATCACAATATCTCTATCTCTTTCTCTCTCTCTCTGTCATTTGAGGATAGAGGAAGAGGCCGTTGTCTACAAGCCAGGAAGAGATTTCTCACTGGAAACCAAGTCAGCAAGCTTCTTGATCTTAGATTTCCCAGTCTTCTAAACTGTGATAAATAAATTCCTGCTGCAGCATTTTGTTTCAGCAGACTGAGCAGACAAAGACACAGATGGACATATTTTTTGGGGGGACACTATTTATCCAATCCAAATTGTTTGGCTTTGTATCTAGAGAAGCTTTCACAAACTGGAATGGAGAAGTAAGGGACACATCCAAACAAAGCACAGTGATTTCTCTGAGCTGAGAGAAAGAGATCAGAACTTAGGGACTCTGGAATGTCTGTTATTCGAGCAACATATTACTGAAAAGGAGAAAGCTATGCAGGGAAATTGTTGCAGAAGTCTGCCCAGATGTCTGCTTAATACTTTGGATTTTAAACTTTAAAGTCAGAGAAAAAAAGATACCATAAGGCTGGGGGAAAAAATTATTAAGGAGATTTAAGATGAAGTATTATCAGTTTGCTTATAGGACTGGGAAACATTCAAGCTCCCAGCAGCCAAAAATGGGAAATGTTTCTAAATACCTCTAGCATCTAGTAGAGGCCCTAGAGGAACAACACCTGAGTCATAGGTGCAAATAAGTGTGAAAATAAAATCTAATGTAAGATATAGCCTTACAAATATTAAAAACAAGTAAATTAACTGCCCACTAAAACAAAATTTAAACATTTAAAGAGAAAGTTAACAAAATACAGACACTCAATAGCAAGTAATTCACAATGTCCAGCAATAGAACTATTTAGTGAATGGAAAAAGAGAGAAGAAGCAGGCAAAGACATTAAAACATCTATTGTAAATATGGTTAAGGATTTAAAAGATAACATTAACATAATGAGGTTTGAAACCAAAAGATATAAAAATTAACCAAGTGGAAATTATAGACCTGAAAATTATAGTATCACAAATCAAAAATTCACCAGATACATTAGCATATGCTGCAGTTTGAACGTTCCTGACAAAACTGAGGTTGGAATCTTAATTTCCAGTGCAGCAATGTTGGGAGCTGGAACTTTTAAGAGGTGAGGCCTAATGAGAGGCATTTGGGTTATGGGGTATCCACCCTCATGGGTGGCTTAGTGTCATTCTTGCAGTACTAAGTGAGTTCTTCGTCTCTTGAGAGTGGACTAGTTATCACTGGAATAGTTTAATTTTTATGAAAGCTGTTTCTTATAAAGCAAGAGCACTCCTCATCTTTGGTCTCTCTTTTCACGTGCCCACTTACCTTTCTGCTTCTTGGCCATGCTGTGATGCAGCATGTGGCCCCTACCAGAAGCTCAGCAGATGCCAGTGCTATGCTCTTGGACTTTCCAGTCACTACAATCATGAGCTAAATCAATCTCTTTCCTTTACGCAGTCTCAGATATTTAGGTATAGAAACAGACAGCTAATTGATACAGCATATTAGATAATACAAAGAGAAAGATCAATTAACTTCAAAACACTCCAATAGAAAATATATAATGTGAAGCTCTGAATAATAATTTTAACTGGCTGAAAAAATAAGGTGTCCTTTGTAACTTGTAATGTAAAAACAAGCCATCTAAAATGATGTAATTATTAGAGTACCATAAGAAAAATGAAGTTGGGAGATCCATTTGAAAAAAAAAAAGTGTCTGTAGATTTCCAGAATTGATGAAATATAACAGGCTGCAAATCCAAAAAGCTTAACAAACCATGGAGCTGGGGCAGGGGAAGTATGAAATTATACAAAGGCACTTTATAATTAAATTTCTGAAAAACACTGATTGATAAAGAGAAAAAAATAGCAATCTGAGAAAAAAGATTATAGAATAATGATCAGAGCTACAACTAATTTCTTATCCAAAATAATGGGATCTGATGGACATTGGAATGGCATGTTTAAAGCACTGAAATACTCCCATCAACCTAAATTCCTATATCCAACTATAGTACTTTTTAAAAAAAATAAGGTGCATCAAAGACATTTTAAATGTAATTAGCTTAATTATTTCCCACCATACCAATAGTGGAGGAAATGTTAATGGAAGTCCCTGCTGTAGAACAATATATGTCATAGGGAAAATTGGATCTACAAACGGACATAAGCACCTCTAAAAATGGGAAATATATGGGTTAATAGTGAAGACTTTTGCTTTCTCATGTTCTATTTAAAAGAATGTTTAAAGCAATAATAACAATGCATAGTGGGTTTTTTAAACAACACTGCTATGTCTTGTGAAGATCCTGATTTGAATCCCTTTGGATAAACACTCAGAAGTGGGATTACTGGATCATATGATAGTTCTATTTTTAGTTTTTCCCATATTGGCTGCACCATTTTACATTTCCACCGTGTTAGTCCGCTGTCACACTGCTATGAAAAAATACTCAAGCCTGGGTAATTTAGAAAGGAAAGAGGTTTAACTGGCTCACAGTTCTGCATTGCTGGGGTGGCCTCAGGAAACTTACAATCATGGTGGAAGGCAAAGGAGAGGCAGGTACCTTCTTCACAGGGTGGCAGGATGGAATAAGTGCCATCAGGGGAAATGCCAGATGCTTATAAAACCATCAGATCTCGTGAGATGCACCCATTATGAAAACAGCATGGGAAAAACCGTCCCCATTATCCAGTTACCTCCACCTGGTCCCGCCCTTGGCATGTGGGGAGTATGGGGATTATGGGAACTACAATTCTAGATGAGATTTTCAGTGGGGACACAGCCAAACCATATCATCCACCAAAAGTGGACGAGGATTTCAATTTCTCCACAGCTTCACCAATACTTGTTTTTACGTAGTTTTTATAATAACCATCCTAATAGAGGTGAGGTGATACATCATTTTCATGTTTTCTTTGTTTATTTGTGGGGTTTTTTTGGCAAAGTTTCACTGTGTCATTTAGGCTGGAGTGCAGTAGTGTAATCATAACTCACTAAAGGATTGAACTCCTGTGTTCAAGAGATTCTCCCGCCTCAGCCTCCCATGTCTCTGGGATTACAGGCATGAGCCACCATGCTTGGCTCCGCTTTGTGGTTTTCATTGCATTTCCCCAATGATTAGTGATGTTGAGAACTTTTCATATACCTGTTTGCCCTTTGTGTGTCTTCTTTGGAAAAATATCTACTCAAGTCATTTGCCCATTTTTTAATTGGGTTTTTTAAATTGCTATTGAGTTGTAAGGATTCTTTGTGTATTTTGAAAATTAATTCATCAGATATATGATTTGCAAATGCTTTCTCCCATTGTATATGTTATCTTTTCACCCTGTTGATTCTCTCTTTTTATTTGCTGTGTATAAGTTTTTAGTTTGATTCAGTTATACTTTTCTACTTTTGCTGCCTGTGATTTTGGTGTCAAATACATGAAATTATATACATGAAATTATTGCCAATGCTGGAGGATTCCTCAGCTCCCCCTGCTTTCTATCTGTGACTCAGCTTCAGGTTTTTCCCAGCAGGCTTAAACCCAAACCCCGGCCTTGCACATCCCCAGGCATTGATAAAGGTACACTGAAGGAAACTGGCCCTAGGCCTGATCCAAATTCCTTTAACCCTCCCAAAAACTCTATACCCTACCCTACTCACTGTGGACATACATAAGTAGAATACTCCATTCTCTCACTGTCCATCTTGAGGGTTGCTGTAGCTCTCTGTAAGTAAGTTCCCCTAATAAATACTAGTGACTGATTACCCTGGCATTCTGTGCTTCTTTCTTTGACATCCCAGTCATCTCAGGACAGTTTGGGGCACTTCCTTGTGGGAACTCTCCTGTTGCCACTTTTGTGGTAACTCCAGGTTTTGTGGGAAAAAACCATACCAATGAAAAAGTATCACACTCCCATGTTCCTAGCAGCATTATTTATAATAGCCAATATTTGGAGATAACCCAAATGTTTACTGATGAAGAAATGGATAAAATGGATAAAAATGTGTGTGTGTTTGTGTGTGTGTGTATGTGTGTATATATATGTGTGTGTATGTCTATATATATATGTGTGTACGTCTATATATATACATACACACACACATTTTTATATATATAGACATACACACACACATATAAAACTGAAATATTATTCAGTCTAAAAAATAAGGGAATCTTGCGATTTGTGACAACACGGATGGACCTGAGGGACATGCTAAGTGAAGTGTCAGTCACAAAAAGAACAAATTCTACATGAATCCACTTACATGAGGTATCTGAATAGCCAATACATAGAAGCAGAAAATAAAATGGTGTTTGCCAGGGGATTAGGGAAGGGAAAGGGGGAGCTATGGTTTAATGAGTATAAAGTTACAGTTATACAAGATAAACTCTAGAAATCTGCCTTACAACATTATTTTATAGTTAACAATATGCTGTTGTACACTTAAATATTATTTGAGGGTGGATCTCTTGTTTCTGACTACAAACAAACAAAAAATGAATGGGACACAGGAAACTGAGAGAAGATGGATATGTTTACTACTGTGATTTTGATGATGGGATCACAAGTGTATACACATGTCCAAATTTATTAAATTGTATATATTAAATATGTACAGTTTTTGACATATCAGTTATACTTAAAGCTGCAAAAAAGAACTGTTGAATGTTTGCATTATATGAAGAGGTTTAGTATTATTTGAAAGTAGAATATGCTATTTTAAAATGCATTTTGTAAAGTGTAACCACTTAAAATTTAAGCAAAGACATGTAGCTAATAATCTAGTAAGGAAAAAATAAAGTAATAATAAATACTCATAATCCAAAGGAGAGTAGAAAAAAGAAGAAAGAAACAAAGAACAAATGTGCCAAATAGAAAACAAATGTTAAGATGGTAGATTTAAATTCTATAATTTTGAAAATTACGTTAAATTTAAATATTCTAAACACTCTATTTTGCTTGTCAGAATAGATGAAAAAGCATCTAGATCTAACTCTAAGCTGTCAAAAAGAAGCATGCTTTAAATATAAAGAATACAGGCTGGTTCAAAGTAAAACAATAAAAACTACTATTGCATAAACACTAATCATAAGAAAGCTGAAGTAGCAACGTTAATAAAAGAGAAAATAAATAGGATTCAAGACAGGAAATATTACCAGAGATACAAATGCTATTTTACGATGCTAAAAGAATCAATTCAATGTGTATATATCTAATAACATAAAATCAAAACAGACAGAACTGAAAAAAGTCCTTAATTATTAGTCCACAATTAGTTAGAATTTCATCACTCTTTTAACAAAAATTGATAGGACCAGTAAATAAAAATCAAATAAAATGACAGAAGATTTGAAACACAGTGTTATCTTGACTAATGAATATTATACATTACATTTACTAGCTTTTGTTTCTCTTCCAAAGGAATTTACATATATTCTTTTAGGTATTTATTCAGCATGAATTCTGAACCCGCATAAAGAACAAAGTGAACTTTCGCCTCCACCACAACTTCATGGGATACATTTTCTCAATATTAGCAGAATATAATTTGCTAAAATGTTAGGAGTTTTATCAGTCTTCTCACTAAATATATTTCCTGTATCTGTATCCATCAGTGATTTCATCTGCATTTATTTACTTCACATATGTTGATTTTGTGGCTACTTAATATATTTGGTAAAAGTTTTAGCATAGGAAAGCACAAGCCTTCAAAATAGTTTTAATTGATGACCAAATTTAGCCTTTCTTTAAAATAATAACAAACAATGATGTTTGTAAACACTGAAGTGCAATATGGCAGAGAAAAGGTTTTCTTTCTCTCTGTTATAAACCTAAAACTTACATTTTTGCCTGGCCCCTCATTGCCAGTAACAATTTTTTGTTTGCTTCTTTTGTTATCAAATATTCAGTGAAGAAATGTGTTTAAAATAAGGTGCTTTAAAAATATTTGTTGAATGCAGCATACAAATTTAAAGAAAACCATTATAAATTTTTAAAAAGTTTTTTATGCCTTGACTCATTTTCATAAGACCAGAATTAGCAATACTGAAAAAATGGTATTATACATGTAGTATTGTATATATATAATTTTTGTATATATATACACGTGTGTATATATGTAATACACATTTGTGTATATATACAAAAATTATATATATACAATACATACACATATATGTATATATACATACACATATATGTATATATACATACACATATGTATATACACATACATATACATGTATACACACATACACATACATGTATACACATACGTGTATATACACACATACATGTATATATACACACATACATGTATATATACATGTATATATACACACATACACATATATGTATATATACACAGATACACATGTATATATACACACATACACATGTATATATACACATACACATATATACACACATATATACACATATACACACATATGTATATGTACACATATACACACGTGTATATGCAATGCACACATATACACACGTGTGTATATACACATACACACACGTGTGTATATACACATACACATATATACATATATACACATATATACATGTATATGTATATACACATATATACATGTATATGTATATACACATATATAATATATACACATGTGTATATATGTATGTGTGTGTGTGTATATATATATATACATAAAATATATCAAGCCCACTTTCTACATGTTCTATGCTAAAGTAAATTCTTTTTTTTGATGTGATTCCCAGATCAAATGTTTCATATTTGTCTACTCTAAACCTTGCAGAAAACACAGTTTCATGTCAATAATCAATATTAGATAATAATTCTATACACTATAAGAAACCATAAATGAATAATTACTTTCTGACATTCTGCTTTTACAAAAAGGAAGAAGAACAATTAATTATTGTTACAAACCAACGTATTGTGATATTCCATCTTTCAAGACACTGGGCTTAAAAAAAAATCGTGCTAAAATTACAATGTTGTGTGTACGTATGCATAAACATTTCCTATTGTAATTCTTTAAAAGGAAACACTCCTTGCAAGTAATCCATACATTTTAGTACTATTTGTGACATCCTTTGTAATTTGTATTTCTATTTATAAAACAAGTTAAATGTTTCAATAATATTACTGTCAGGCATTGAGTGTATGATTCAATAAGAAATATCAAATTTAAAGGCTAACAATAATATTAAAAAAGATAATAGTTTTAAGTCACCTATCACATTCTTTGTGGTTATGCTAACTTGAACTATCTTTAAACAATAGATGTAATGCTTTATAACAAATTTAAATTCATTTGGGGTTCATTTCATTTTAGACATTATGTTCTTAGAAACATGGATATATATTACTAATCTAAATGGCTTATAATTAAATTGAAGTTACCAACATCATCAAAAATAATTATTTCTTCTTATACATCTTGATCTTCTCATTATGCAAATCTGGTCTATCAATTATTATGTACACCCTTCGGATAAGAGGCAATGTAGATTATGTTTCCAGAATGATGCATCTGTTCTGATTTAACTACCCATCAGTGACTATAAATTGTTGAGTAATTTTGTTTGATTGGCAAAATAATTTCAGAGCAGTTGAAGCAATATTGTTGCATATGTGCCTGAATTCCCAATACATTTATTTTTCCTGTAGAATATCAAGTAAAAAGATACTAATAGTCTATTTTCCTCATGAGTCATTTAAACTGATCCTTAAAAAAATGCAACTGAAGTTTCTTCTGGTTAAAAATTTTTCCAATATGGAATATAATCAGATTTTTATCATTTTGAGTATTTGAATTTATGTACAGTAACAATAATTTTCTCCTTGAATTTTTTAAGAGAAATTAAACCATTGACCATTCTTCATCTATGATGTGGGCAACCACCCTTGAGTTTCTTAAATAAAATACAAAGTTGTTATCCTGGCTCCTCTAACTCTCTTACATCGCACACTCAAGGCACAAAAAATTCCATTGGCTATATCTTCAATTTGGTTACAAAATCTGACTGGCTGCTTCTTACCTTCTCTACCACCACCACAACTCCAGTCTAAATCCTCTGATCTCATATTTTGACTATGACAGTTAACTTCCACTGATTCCCTGTTTTCTCCTTTGGCGCTTCTTAGTCTATTCTCATCGTGGTAGTCGGACAGTTCTTCTGGTCAAAAACATTAATGGCTAATGACTTTCCACATCATTCCAAATAAAAGTCAGAATCCTTCGTCTAAATCATATTGTCCTCATCATTCACCTCTCTGTACCTTCTGATCTTATCTGCCTGACACTCTCCATATTCCTTATTCTTTCCAGATAGCCTCTTTCTGCTCCTCACACATGTTCAATATACAGGCATGCATCACTTAATGATGGGGCTACATTATGAGAAATGCATCATTTGGTGATTTCATTGTTGTGTGAACATCACAGAGTGCACTTACATAAATCTAGCTGTAGTCTACTACACACCTAGGCTCTATGGTACAGCCGGTTGCTTCTAGGCTACAAACCTGTACAACATGTTGTTGTACTGCAGGCAATTGTAACACAATGGCAAGTGTTTGTGTATCTAAACATATCTAAACATAGAAAGACACAGTAAAAGTACATTATAAAAGATTAAAAAAAATATACCTCTACAGGGCACTTACCATGAATGGAGCTTGCAGGACTGGATGTTGCTTTGAGTGAGTCAGTGAGTGAGTGGTGAGTGAATGTGAAGACCTGGCACATTAACTGTACACTACTGTAGACTTTATAAACATTGTGTAAGTGGGACACACTAAATTTAAAAATATGTATATATTATTTCTTAAATAATAAATTAACTGGCTTTAACTTTTTGACTTTATAAACACTTAAATTTTCTAATTTTTTGGCTCTTTTGAAACAATGCTTAGCTTAAAACATAAACATATTGTAAAGCTGTACAAAATTATTTTTCCATCATTATTCTATTAGTTTTATTCCATTGTTAAAATTTTTTAGTTTTTATTTTTAACTTGTTACAGTTTTTTGTTAAAAATGAAGACAAAAACACAGCCTGGGCCTACACAGGATCAGTATTATTAATATTGCTGTTGAATTAATGTGATTGTTATATCACTTCCACATCTTGTCCCATTGGAAGATCTTCAAGGGTAATAAGACTCGTGGAGCTGTCATCTCCTATGATAATAATGCCTTCTTCTGGAAGACCTGCTGAAGGACCTTCCTGGAGCATTTTTATAGTTACCTTTTTAAAAATATATATAACTAGAAGGAGTACACTCTAAACTAATGATAAAATATATAGTATAATAAATATGTAAACCAGTAATACACTGTTTATTATCAAGTATTATGTACTGTGTGTAACTAAATATGCTATACTTTTACATGACTGGCAGGACAAGTAAGTTTTACCAGCCTCACCAACACCTGAGTAATGTGTTCAACTGCGACATTACAATGGCTATATTGTATATATTTTGTATAACGCAGATATATTGTAATATATTTAGCTGACATGTTACTCATGTGTCTGACAATTATCACCACTTCTTTTCCCTTAGAATGCAATTTCCATTGTAGTAGGAAATTGGGTTTGTTCCTGGCAGTATTCTCCATACCAGGATTAGTGTCTGTCTATGGTATGTGCACAATAAATGATGATTAAAAGAAGTTCTCTACATGTGTAAATTATGCAACCCAGTGAATTTAAAGTGAATTTTTGTTATTGTTAAATAATATAAAGAGAAATATTATACAGTTAACTAAACTAAACATTAAAGGAAATGCCATAAACTTTGATTTTGTTTTAACAGCAAAGGTATAGTACCATGAATATATTTATCCCAAGTGATACACTTAATCACCAAATCTTGTAAGAGATCTAATATATATTATATACACTATATAACATATATATACACTATATATGTTATATAGTGTATATAATATATAATTATATATTATGTAATTATATATTTAATATATTTAATAATATATATTATATAATATATAAAATATATATTATGTATAATATATAAATATAATATATAATATATATACTATACATATATATATATATACTTTTTTTTTTCTTTGAGATAGAGTCTCACCCTGTAGCCCAGGCTGGAATGCAGTGGTGCGATCTTGGCTCACTGGAACCTCCACCTCCCATGTTCAAGCGATTCTCCTGCTTCAGCCTCCCAAGTAGCTGGGATTACAGGGTAACACCACCACATCCAGCTAATTTTTGTATTTTCAGTAGAGACTGGGTTTCAGCGTGTTGGCCAGGCTGGTCTTGAACTCCTGACCTCAAGTGATCCACCCGCCTTGGCCTCCCAAGGTGCTGGGATTACAGGCATGAGCCACCACACCAGGCAAGATCTAAAATATGTTTTAAAATGAAATTGTTTTTATACTATTTTTATTGTGGTAAAATGTACATAACATAAAATTTGCCATCTTAACCACTTTTAAGTGCACCATTCTGGGGTCTTAAATACATTCAAAACGTTATGCAACCATCAACACCATACATCTCCATTACCCTTTTCATCTTGGAAAACTGAAACTCAGTGCCCACTAAACAATTCCCATTTCTCCCACCCACAAGTGGCAATCACCATGTTACTTTCTGAGTACATGATTTTGAATAATCAAGGTACCTCATAAAAGTAGAATCATACAGTATTTGTCTTTTTGTGACTGGCTTATTCCTCTTAGAACAATGTCCTTGAACTTCATCCATGCTGTAGCATATTAGAGAATTCCTTTCTTTTTAAGGTTGACTAATAGTCCATTTTATGTATATACCACATTTTGCTTCTCTGTTTAACCACTGCTGAATGCTTGTGTTGCTTTCATATGTCACGTGTCGTGGATAATAGTGCTAGGAACATGGGTGTACGGATATCTCTTTGAGACTCTGCTTTCAATTCTTTTTGGTATATACCCAAACGCGGAATTGTTGAATCATACAGTAATCATAGTAATTCAGTTTTGAAATTTTTGAGAAATCAGTATACTACTGTCCATAGAAGCTGTACCATATTACGTTCCCACCAGCAATGCACACGTGTTCCAGTTTCTTATGTCCTCACCAATGTTTGTTATTTTCTGTTTTTTTCTTTTCTTTTCTTTTTTTTTCTGGTTCCAGTTTCTTCTATCCTCACCAATGCTTGTTATATTCTGGGATATGTTTTCCGGTTTTTTTTTTTTTTTAATACTAATTATTCTAATGGGTTTGAGGTGCTATCTCATTGTAAATTTTGATGTACATTTCCCTGCTAATTAGTGATGTTAAGCATCTTCTCTTGTCCTTACTGGTCATTTGTATATCTTCTTTGAAGAAATGTCTTTTTAAGTTTTTGTTTATTTTTAAACAGTTCTTTTTCTGCTGTTGAGTTGTAGGGATTCCATACATGTTTTTGCATATTAATCAATTATTGAAAGATAAGATTTGCAAATAATTTCTCCCATCCTGTGAGTTGCCTTTTGATACTGATATTGTCTTCTGATGCACAAAATTTAATTTTCATAAAGTAAAACTTATTTTTTTCTTATGTTGCCTGTGCCTATGGTTTTCAAGAAATCATTGACAATGCCAATATTATGAGCTTCTGCTTTTTTTTCCCTAAGATTTTTAGAGTTTTAGATCTTACATTTAGGTCTTTGATCTATTTTAAATTAATTGTTGCATATGGTGTTAGGTGAACATCCAAATTTACTACTTTGCATGTGGATATCCAAATAGCCCAGTATCTTTTGTTGAAAAGACTATCGTTTTTCCATTGGATGATCTTGACATCCTTGTCAAAAATTGTTGGCATACTATTTTTCATAGTATCCTCTTATCATCATTTTTATTTTTGTGAAAATGGAAGTAATGTCCTCACTTTCATTTCTGATTTTATTAATTTGAGTCTTCTTTTTCCTTAGTCCACATAACTAAAGTTTTGTCAGCTTTGATTTTTTTTTAAAGAGCCAACTTTTGATTTCATTTACTTTTCTCTATTGTTTTATACTCTTTATTTTATTTACCTCTACTCTAATCTTAATTATTTTCTTCCTTCTGGTTTTAGGTTTAGCTATACTTTTCTTTTTCTAGTTTCTTTCTTTTTTTTTTTTTTTTTTTTTTAGATGGAGTCTTGCTCCGTCGCCCAGGCTGGAGTGCAGTGGCGTGATTTCAGCTCACTGCAACCTCTGCCTTGGCCTCCCAAAGTGCTAAGATTACAGGTGTGAGCCACCTCGCCCGGCGTTTCTTGCTCTTTTTAATATAAGCTTCTGTACTTGTAAGTTTCTCCCTTAAGCACTGCTTTTGCTGTTTCATATGTTCTGTTCTATTTTGTTTTTGTTTTCTGTCATTTTACATTTTCTAATTTTCCTTGTGATTTACATTGGTTAATGTTCTGTTGTTAATTTCCACAATTTTGTAAATTTTCATTTTATCTCTGTTACTGATTTGTAACTTCCTCACATTTTGGTCAGAGAAGATACTTAGTGTGATATCTATCTTGGAAATGTATTGAGATTTAATTTGTGGCCTAATTTCGTCTATCCTGAAAAATGTCTTGTGTGCCTTTGAGAAGATATGTGTGCTACTGCTGCAGGGTAGAGTGTTCTCTGTAAGTCTGTTAGATTTAGTTGGTATATTGTGTTAGGTCCTCCATTTCCGTACTTATGATCTGTATGGTTTGTCTATATATTATTGGGGGGGGAGGGCATTATAGTTTCCATCTATTATCATAGAACTACCTGTTTTTCATCTCAATTCTGTCAGCTCTGGTTTCAAATATTTTGATGGTCTGTTATTAGGTGCATGCTTATAATTGTTGTATCTTCTTGGTGCATTGAAACTTTTATTAATGTATGATTTCCTTCTTTTCCCACATATCATTTTTTTATTTAAAATTTATAATTCTTGTCATAGAACAGCCACTCCTGCTCTCTTTTGGGATTTATTTGCATGAAATATCATCTGTTTTCTCCTTTCTTCTTCAATCTCTATATGTCTTTGGCTCAAAAGTGAGTCTCTTGTAGATATCATATTGTTGGTCCAGGTGGCTTTTAATCCATTGTGCCAATTTGTCTTTTGATTTGAAAGTTTAATCAATTGACACTTAGGGAAATTACTGATAAGAAGGGACATACTAATGTTATTTTTGTCATTTGTTTTATAAATGCCTTATAGCTTTTTTGTACCTATTTTTTTTTTTTCATTACTGTCCTCTTTTGTGTTTACTTGATTTTTTGGTAGGGAAATGTTTAAATTTCTTTCTCGTTTCCTTTTGCATATCTTCTAAGCTATTTACTTTGTGGTTACTGTGAAAATTTTGTGTACAATTCTCAAGTTATCATACTCTAATTTGAATTTACACCAGCTTAACTTTAGTAATGTACACAAGCTCTCCTTCCTTTATAGCTCTATCCCCACACCTTGTAGTTGTTTTTTTGTTTGTTTGTATTGTTTTGTTTTAAGACAGGGTTTTGCTCTGTAGCCCAGGCTGGAGCACAGTGGTGCAGTAATGGCTCATTGCAGCTTCAACCTCTCAGGCTCAAGCGATACAACTACCTCAGCCTCTTGAGTAGCTAGAACTATGGCATGAACCACCACACGTGGCTAATTTATTAAATTTAAAAAAATTGTAAAGTCAGAGTCTCACTATGTTGCCTAGGCTAGTTTCAAACTCCTGAGCTCAAGCATCTTCCCACCTTGGCCTCCAAAAGTGCTGGGATTATAGGTGTGAGCCTCCCTGTCCCGCCTTTTTAGTATTTGACATCATAAGATTATACCTTTATATATTATGTGCCCCCCAAGATAAACTAATAACTTTAAAAATGCATTAGTTTCTAAATTATGTGGAAAACAAAATGTGGAGTTACAAACCAAAGTTACATTTCTATTAGCACTTAGAGTAATAATTGTTTTCTTTAAATGAGTTAACCTCTTAAATCATGTAGAAAACAAAAAGTAGAGGTATAAACTATTGTTACAATTATGTTAGCTTTTATAATTGCCCATAGATTTACCTTTATTGAGATTACTATTTCTCCATATTCCTTTGAATTACTCTCTAGTGTTCTTTTTTTTTTTTTTTTTCCACCCTGCAGGATTTCATTAACCATTTCTTGCAAGGTAAGTCTAGTGATGATTAACCTCAGCTTTTCTTTATCTGGAAATGTGTTAATTTCTCCCTCCCTTTTGAAAGGCACTTTTGCTGGATGTAGAATTCTTAATTATATTTGTTTTGTTTTGTTTTGTTTTTTCTCTTAGCCCTTTCAATACATTGACTCACTGCCTTCTGGCCTCAAGTTTCTGATGAGAAATCTGCTGATAATTTTATTGTATATGATGAGTTACTTTTCTCTGTTGCTTTCAAGAGTCTGTCTTTATCTTTCAAAAATTTGATTATGTTTCTGAGTGTGGATCTCTTGGTTCATCTTACTTGGACTCTGCTGAGCTTTGTGGATGTTTATATTCATGTCATTCATCAAATTTAAAAAGTTCTCAGCCATTACATCTTCAAATATTTTCTCTGCCTTCTCTCGTTATCTTCTGGGATTCTCGCAGTGAATATGTTGGTCAGCTTGATGGTATCCCACAAGTAAATTAGATTCTTTTTTCTGCCTATTCAGATTTGCCTTTGAATTGCTCTTGTATATTTTTTATTTTGATTATCGTACTTCTCAGCTCCAAAATTTCTTTTTTTTTTAGGTTTTCTGTTTATTGATATTTTTCTGTTGTTCATACTGCATTTTCTTGACTTTCTCTACATCTTTAGTTTCCGGAGCATCTTTAAGAGAGTTAAAGTATCGTTCAGTAGTTCTGCAGTCAGATCTTTTTTCAGAGACAGTTTCTATTTATTTTTTTTTCTTTGAATGGGCTGAAGTTTCCTATTTTTTTATACATGGTAATTTTTTTTGTTAAAAACTGGATATTTTAATCAAATCATGGGCTAAGTCTGGAAATCAAATTTTCATGCTACCCCTGGGTTCACTGTTTTTGTTTGTACTTATTTATCTTTTTGTTGTTGTAGACTCTTATCTTTTTGTTGTTGTAGACTCTGTGCCAAGCATCAGGCTGAAGTGCAAACTTAAAGTACTCTCAGTCTTTTCTGAGCCTGCAGCTTTCCCTGGTCATGCATGATCACTTTCTAACTTTCTTCATACATACATTGGTTTTGTATGTCTTAGTCCTTAATGCCTAGCTCCTAAAAGAGGAAAAAAGAGAAAAATGAAGCAAGGAGGAAAGATGCTGGCATTTTAATGACCCTGAAAGTCACTTCAACTGGAGGAGGAGGGGCTTGTCACAATGCGAGAAGGTGCAACAATAATAACCACCCACCTCTTTGAACTTCTGTGATCAGAAGCAGCAATTAGATCTCCAGTATTTGGAGGAAAAGACCATGGTATGAAGCAAAATACCTTTATAAAACATATTCTTCAGAAGCATTTTTAAAAACTGAATGAAAAATATAAAGGCAACTTCATATATCCTGTGGCCTTCTACTTAAACTACAAATAGTTAAGAAATCTAAAATAAAATAAATGTAAATATTCCCAGTGAATAAACAATTTCTTTGAAAAAATAAGAGTTGTGATGTTATAGCCACGAGTGTAGTTAGCAGCATATTCACAAAAACGTTACTAAGAAAATACTTTAAAAGTAAAGGTAAAACCTCAGGTTTTATTTTCCTCTACGAAAAATGTCACTTTGGTGTGGTATTTTCAAGAAAACTGAAATACATTTTAGTGTAATTTAAATCCTTTCTTCAGAAAAGCCTTTCTGTATTTAATAGAATTCTTGTTAATGAGTAAGTAGAAAAAAAGCAACAACTATATTAAACAACTTCATATTCTCCACAGAGCTTAAAGAAAAAAGATTAAACACTTAAGTGATTATTACTGAAAGGAAAACAAGAGTTGCCAACAAAGTAGATTAATTTTGTCTATGCACCTATCAACAAGTTCTCCTGTGATCAGTTGCATGTAATCATGCCTTTTCTATCATGCTTTCATTGCTCTGCACAGTCTGCCCATATTTTTAAGACTATATCAGGAATCCCAGCACTTTGGGAGGTCAAGGCGGGTGGATTGCTTGAGGTCAGGAGTTCGAGACCAGCCTGGCCAACATGGTGAAACATCATCTCTACTGAAAATACAAAAATTAGTTGGGCATGGTGGCACATTCCTGTAATCTCAGCTACTAGGGAGGCTGAGGCAGGAGAATTGCTTGAACCCAGGAGGCGGAGGTTGCAGTGAGCTGAGATCATGCCACTGCACTCCAGCCTGGGCAACAGAGAAAGACTCTGTCTCAAAAAAAAAAAAAAAGAAAAAGATTATATCAGGACTATATCGGTAATAAGGTAAACACACACACACACAAAATTAGATAGAATTTATAAATATAAATTTAGATATAGAAAGGTAGAAATATAGCTATAGGTGTACATGCAGATCATACAAAAGTAAGGAAACAGAGCAAATCCCAATTTTTGTTTTATTATTTTTTTCTTAATTTCCATTGAAATCAGGGATAAACTATGTTCTTAATTACATTCTTTCCCTTCCTTCCATTTTCTCTCTTATCAGTCCTCCTGGCTTTTTTGCCACACTGAAGCCTCAGTTTCAGACATCAGAGTCAATAGGCAATTGCTATACAATTCCTATCTGCAGCAGGACCCAACCGCTTGCTTCCTCTTAAGTTGATCATGTATATTTCCATCCTGGGGATGGGAGAGTTCCTATGTTGCTCAGGACTGCTACTCACTGTTTCCAGAGTTCTTTGTCTCTTCTGGAGGACTATGGGAACGTCTTCTTCAGTCAGTGCTTCCCTTCCAAAAGGGTCCCCTTCTTGAAGTCACAGGTTCCTCTCCATAGAATCAATTTTGTAGGTAAAAGGGGAGGGAAAAAAAACTTCATAAACCTCTACAAGCTTAATGTAGAGGGAACGGGAACAAAAAGAATATCAATAACAAAAACGACCACGAAAATAGCATAGCTTTAGTTTTTTACTGTTGCTAAATTTTCATGTTCTGCATAAGCAACCCTTTAGAAAGATAAGTGGATGATAGTGACTTTGTGAATAGGAAAAACATTTGGAGATAGAAACAGGCAGATGGAATTGTATGGAAGCAGACCGTAGAAGTACACTGACCCTTTAAGGCAATTATATTTACCAAAGAATCATATAGAAACCCTATAGAAAAGACTCTTTTCTATAGAAGGGTTGCTTTTCAGAGCTTTAGCTATAGTCTGTCCTCAGTTTCTTTCCCAAGCACCATTAAACTGCACCCTCTTTCCTAACAACACTACTTCCATGTTATATCCAGCTACCGGTGGACTGCATGGAGCTGTATTTGGATTTGCTTTCTATCAGGAATAACAAAAATTCTATGATGTTAACCATCAAATAATTATAACATTTTCTTTAATTTGTGTAAATTAATATTATTTTCATTGAAAATAACTTTTCAAAATGGCTGTACAGTAGTTTTTTAGTCATGGGAAAATAAATAAGAAAAATGTGTCAGAGTTAAATATGAGAAGGTATTTTATGGATGTTTGTAACTGAGTGAAGAAAATTAGAAGAGCAAGATTAAAAATATGCAGTTAAAACACGAAGACACATAAGCACAAATACTCACACGGAGAAGTTTACAGCTTTAGAACTGACAAAAGATCTTATGAAAGACAATGTTGCTCATTAGCAGAGAAACTGAGAAGAGTAATGAGTGAGGTTTGAAGAGTAGGTCATAAAAGAACATATCTGACACCAAGGCACAATGAAACACAATTAAAATGTTCTCAAGACAATTCGTAAAAGGATGAAATGTATTGCACCAAGTTTTATGGCCTAATAAAACTAAAATGTACCTTCACTCTGTTGGAAAGGTTTATGAAGAGGAAGGAAAGACAAGGTGATATAAACAGGCGGTTTCTATGGTTTCTGAGGTACTACCTGAAAGGACAGATGAGCTCTTTTTTGTTTATAATATAATGGAAACATACTGGAATAAAAATAGTGGGCTTGAGTTATTTTAAGACCAGAACTAAATATTATATCTATGTTGAACTGAAATTTTTAAAAAATCAAAATTAAAAACTATGCCATTCCATGTAGCAAGCTACCTTAAGAATTTCCATCCACAATTACCCTAAGGCATTTATTCCTTTCTTTGCAAAATAAATAGATACTGGATGGGTAGATAGATAAAAAAGATTCATTGCTTTTTTTCTCAGAAAAAATGTTTTTTAGTAAAACAAGTAATAGAGAATAGAAAATAAAATTAGTACATATATTTATATCTGTGCGTGCAAACAACTATAATTACCATTGTCATAATTTAATGGTAACTATTAATATTATATTATTATATTACCATATTATTACTATTATGCTATTGAACCACATACTGTTTGATAGAATTGGCCCATTGTTTAACTGCATTTACTCATAAAAAAACAGAGCTATAAGTTATATTTATGATGTGTAATAGATTCATATAAACAGAACATAAAAGAATTGGCATGTTGTAGTAGAGGTCTCACTTCCTGTTTACTTATTAATGATTTAAAGTCATGTGAGTGTATGGGTTTAAATATGCTAATTATTCAATCTGTCCTCCTATCAGCCCTACTTATCTGCTTATAGAGTTTCAGTGGTGACAGTGTGATATTGCTTAAAATGTGAATTTTGTCTCTTTTAATTATAAGTTTTAGATTTTCCAGTACTATGGTTCATATTGAATTTTGGTGGGGAGATGTAACAGGGAAAGGACATTTCAGTTGAGATATAAAACAATACTGAGACTTGAATTCTAAACTTCTACAATGGATTTTTCAGCTTGGTTTCTGGTCATTATCAAAACGAATGGAGAAATAACATTGTAAGCTAACATAACTCAAACCAAGTCATTATGCTTTTTCTTGTGTATATCTATTAATTTAAAAACATAGCAAGTTTTTATGGGTTAAATTTTGCCTCCAAAAGGTATACTGAAGTCCTAATTCCCAGTATTTTAGAATATGAGCTTATTTGGAAATAGTATCATTGAAGATGTAATCAGTTAAGGTGAGATGAGGCCATACGGGAGTAGGGTAGGCCACAACCCCAATGTGACTGGCGTCCTTTTATAAGGACAGAGTGACAGGCAAGAAGAGAATATGTGTGATGACAGCAGTAGTGACTGAGGTGCTGCAGCTGCAAGGCAAAAAATGCCAGCCGTTTGCCAGCCACCACCAGAAGCTAGGCAGCTAGAAAGGAGTCTCCCTTACAGGTTGGCCTTGTCAACACTTTGACATTGGACTTACAGCCTTCAGAATTGTGAGAATACAAATCTCTGTCATTTTATGCCTTCTAGTCTGTGGTCCTCGAATATCGAAGCCCCATTAGCGTGAAGATAGAGGATAGTTCAGCCGTAGTTCATGTCTCGGCTAATGTAGGTGACTGAGGAGAAGGCGGTTGAGGTATCTGGTGTATAATGTATAGCTTTGTAATAACGGCTCTGGGAAACTAATACACAAGTGTTTAAAATTTGTATACATCAAATTCATTATTCACTAAAAATTGGAAAAATGATTTTCTAAAATAATAATTTTGTTACTGATGACATTGCAATTAATGAAGAAACTAATTTATCTGAAATATTCCACTAGTGTAGAAAATGTCCTGATTTTCAGTTGATTTAAAATATATATATTACTATTGCACAACACTCTAATTGAGTGCAATAAAAACATAATTGAGTTTTATTTTTATGTTATGCTTTCTTTTTTATAAAAGAAATCTTGGGAGGCCGAAATGGGCAGATCACAAGGCCAGGAGATCGAGACCAGCCTGGCCAACATGGTGAAACCCCATCTCTACTAAAAATACGAAAATTAGCTGGGCATGGTGGCGGGTGCCTGTAGTCCCAGCTACTTGGGAGGCTGAGGCAGGAGAACTGCTTGAACCCAGGAGGCAGAAGTTGCAGTGAGCCAAGATCTGTGCCACTGCACTCCAGCCTGGGTGACAGAGCAAGACTCCATCTAAAAAAAAAAAAAAAGAAATCATAGTAGATTAAAGAAATCATAGTAGATTAGAGTTCAAGATATAATATTTAGACATTATTTATTTAAAGGAAAATAGGAATTAGTTACATATTTTTTCTTTTAGCTTTGTAATGCCAAGTCTTCTAAGTCTCTCTTCAGTTATTCCAGATAGCAACAGTTTAAATACTCCTGAGGTTTTCCTCAAATGCTTTGCCTCATTTAAAAAAATTGATTGTAAAAATACAAAACAAATAGGAGTATACAAAATGCGGAAGCATGTTTATGAGTTAGTTATGGTTATTTTCATTGCTCTATGCTTCAAATCTCTATGGCTCAGTTTAATGGTGCCTGAAACCCAGATGGTTATGGACATGATAATCAAGATGCATCTGCCTCACTTGTTTACTCAGAAACCCAGACCAACAGAGGTTCTGTTGTCTTTGGAACATGACTCCCAAAGTCAACCAAGAATATTAAATCATCAGGTTGCCTAAGTTGATGGCAATCCTTGCAAAGTCCCTCTTTTTTTTTTTTTTTTAAACAAAATGTGTACCACTTGTTGTCATGCGTACTTTGAGAGAATGACTGGTCCAGGTTGAACAGAAGAGTTAAACAAATGAGACAGAATTCCTCAGTATATCTGGACTTGAAGTTCTTCAAGCAAGCTCTTTATTTCCCTAAAATCTGATGAAACTGTGAAATAAAAAGACAAAAACCCTCACACACAAATCTTATAAAATATGGAACAGGACCAGGATTTTTGCAATTAAAACTCCCCTTAAAAAGGAGTTGACCACCTTGGTAAGGTTCCTTTCTTGAAGTGGAGAAGTTCTTCATCAGACCCTGATTTTGTTCCCTGGAAGTCATCTTACATCCATTATCCACCCTGGCTACATGTAAAGTGAATGTTTGGTAACAGCCCTTTTTTGGTGTGCTACGATTTTTCCACAGATCTACAGTTTTTCAGGCTGTTTTTTTCTACATGCAAGCGTAGGCCCAAGTGGTGTTTTCCTGCTTGAATTGCCTAAGGTTATTTTAGTCCTAGTTTTATGATTCTTTGGTAAATATAATTGCCTAAAAGTGTCAGTGAGCTTCTAGGGTCTGCTTCCATATAATTCCATCAGCCTGTTTCTATCTCCAGACTTTTTACCTATTCACAAAGTCACTATCATCTACTTATCTTTCTTTCTTACAAATAACCACAGCAACTTTGAGACTCATCTCACTTTGTCCTATAGTTGAAACACTTTCTTCAACTGAAATGTTTTATTGGTTGCTATGGTTTGGCTGTGTCCCCACCCAAGTCTCATCTTGAATTGTAGCTCCCAAAATGTCCATGTGTTGTGGGAGGAACCTGGTGGGAGATGATTGAATCATGGGGGTGGGTCTTTCCCATGGTGTTCTATTGATAGTGAATAAGTCTCATGAGATCTGATGGTTTTCTAAAGAGCAGTTCCCTTGCACACATTCTATTGCCTGCTGCCATGTAAGACGTGCCTTTGCTCCTCCTTTGCCTTCTGCCATGATTGTGAGGCCTCCCCAGCCATGTGCAACTGTGAGCCCATTCAACTTCTTTTTCTTTATAAATTACCCAGTCTCAGGTATGTCTTTATTAGCAGCATGAGAATGGTCTGATTCACTGGGTATTGTTACTCAAAACCATTTTAGACAATGTTTGTAATTGGGCCCAGCAGGACTCATCCTTTTCAGTTGCCATGCCTTTGAACATTGAAGTTTCTATGTATTCCATATGATTATTGTTTAAAACCCAATCAGCTCCTACCTGTGCTCATTTCTTATTCATAATACCTTGCCAAAGGCAAATGACAACAACATTCTGGTTCCTTCCAATCACTTCATGCAGAGATACAGGCTTAAGCACATTAGGTCTGTTTTCTATGCAATCTCACTTTATAACATAGACAATTAGTCTGGCCATTAAGGAATTATTGCATATTTATATTTTTATAAAGGCAATAAACCATTTTAAGACAACAATGACTGACTTCTTACTAGACACAATAATACAAGCTCAATAAATATTTAATGAATGAATTCCTTTCTTTCATTTGTAATTTGAAGAATGTTGTCAGTTTTTCATAGTCTACCCCAAGAAAGATAATTTTATTTTATAGAGAAATTTAATAGAATAAGTTTGTATTTCATTGTTATTTAAAGACCCATATTAGAATTACATAGTTTGAATTTTATTGTACCCACTTCTCATTCCAGATTTTTTTTCTCTAATTATAAAACGAACATAATAACTTCAAAGTGTTAGTGACCAAAGAGTATTCCAAAACATGGAGGGAGACATCAGTTTTCTACTGAAAGCAACTCATTTTTAGACCTCAAGAGATGTGTGAATTCTCAGGAAGGCTACTCTGGCACTGTCTAAATTTCTATTTCTCTTCATGTTATTTATTCCATAGGCCAAAGGTTTTTTTTGTGTGTGACTACATAAATAAATGCACCTGCATTATTTTTCCTTGTGTAATTAAGATTGTCATTTCGTATGCACCATGAGTGCCCATTTTCCTTTACATGTTCCAAGGCCTTGTATCTTTGTGTATATCTTAATATTTACGTTGATTGTTGAACTGTTCCTCCTTGTCTGTATTAACGAACCATGTGATTATCCAATTACATGTAATGAAGATACATTTAAATCTGTGATTCTATAAACAAACATTTGAAAATGTCAACCACAAAGATTGTAGAAATCCTCTGTTATCTGTTAAATATTGTAGAAATAGTGTGCTGTAAAATGTTGAGATATATGTTTTCATAAAGTGTTGCTCATGTTGACAGTTTTATGAGTTAACATTCCATAGCCTTCCTGATATCTGACAGTTATATTTATTCATGCTGCATTCAGTCTGATACCAGAAAAAATTTCTTCTATTGATGAATGTGTGTGCCATGGTCCCATTTCTTAGGGTGACAATGCAAAAACTATTGAAACTACAGTACCATATTTTTGGGTGTCATCGTTTTTCATGATCGACTTCCAGTTTTGTTGTGTTCTGTGGAATCAAATGGGAAAGGATGTGTGTGTTTTTTAAATGCATATGATCCGAGGATCATTTTTTCCTAGTAGATGTGACAAAATTCAGTTTTAAATTATCTTCCATTTCCTTACAGTTATGATTTATGGCTCCAAAATAGTGCCAGAACTTTTGGCAATTTTCTTTTGTCTATATATATTTTTTATAAAGTTAAGTTTTTAATAAAAAGCTTAATATTAGGTCCATTTTGGAGTTGTGAGTCATATATATATATATATATATATCCTGATAAAATACATGGTTCCCAAGATATTTAGTCAATTCAGTTCTCTCTCTCATGTCGGTCTTCATATTTCAAAATGAAAGAATCTTCAAGATGTAAGCATACAAATCACACATAAGAAACATCTAAAAAAAGACCTCAAAAATGTATACAGAGAGTTCTATTGTCAGCAAAAATGGAGCAAGCTCACTCCAGCCTATTAGTCCTACTCTTCGCAACAAGAAACCTGGATTCTGGAAAGCTAATAACAGCAAGCAGACTGGGACAAAAAGTGAAAACTGAAGAAAGACCTGCATGCTGGTGAATTTCCCATTTTTTCCCATCATGTGTCTCCTAAGTATGGCTAAACTCAAGGAACTTTGAAGTATATGTGCACAACAAAAACTGCAATTTAAACAATAAGCTGGAGAGTTTAGGGTAAAATGTTTTTTTCTCCCTGTCCTACTCCAAGGACAACGTCATTTATTAAACTGCACTGCTAAAGTCTTGCTGCAGACAGCTAACACCTGATACAGAACAACTGCATCTCTGGCCAGAAGGACCAGGTAGAGGAGTCTATATTGTCCAAAACGTGTGGGAAGAGTCCTGCTATTTTTCTCCCTCTTTTCTCTTGCTACTTTGCTCAGAGTAAAACTACAATCCTCTGGAAATTTGCAATGAAGTGGATGTAAAGGAATTAAGACTCAGAGAAATCTTTGTTTTGAACTAAAGAAATCAAAGTAAGTGGCCCTTGGCTTCTGGAGGTTGTCAAGGAAACACTGGTGAGAGGAAAACTTGATCCTTTGATCCTGCAATTTTGTGTGTGAACCCATAAGAATCTCAGACTTACTCTTGAACTTGCCATTCACACAACAGCCTCAAAGAAGCATTGCAAAGGCTTGAGAGCTAAGTATTCTATGAACCATGTTTAAAATACGACATCCCACAGAATTATCCAGCCCATGGACAAACTTGTACAGCTCATAAGCTAATAATGTTTTCTACATTTTTTAAAAGGCTGTAAAACAAGCAAGCAATCCAGCAAGTTTGCAAACAGACAATTAATATGCAACATGGACCATATGTGAGTCACAAAACCTAAGATATTATATAGTCCTTTACCCAGAAAAAATGCTGATCCCTGATAGCCATTGTCCAAATCCAATACTAACCCCTAAATAGCATGTGCACAGGGTGGCACAAAGAGCACAGCATACTAACTTCAATTTGAATTGTAAAGACTAGTTACGCATCTCTCAAGTTCTAGAGCTATCAATTAAACAAAATAACAAGAGATACAGACAGCACACTATTGTCTATATGGTCTATGCACAATTCTATACACAACCCTAATCAAATCTCAGTAGGATATTTTGCAGATATTGATAAGCTGTTTCTAAAATGTATATGGAAAAGCAAAGGGAATACAATCCTCAGAATAAAGGAAGTGCACATTTTCAGGACTCATATTTTCTGATTTGAAAACCTACAATAATGCTACAATTATCAAGTCACAGGTAAATATGACAGAATAGAGGGCCTGGAAATAGATCCAAACAAAGATGATCAGTTAATTTTTGACAAATATGAAAAGAAAATTCAATGAATAGACCACTGCATTCAAAAATGGACTGTGATGTTTGTACAAATATCAAAAATATGAAAGTTGATGCACACTTCACAATTTATATGATAATTACTTGAAAATATATCACCCTCATCAGATAAATGCAAATCAAGGCTATAATGAGATGTTATCTCACACCATTTAAAATGGCTTATATCCAAAAAACAGGCAATAAAAAATGCTGGTGAGAATATGGAGAAAAGGGAACCCTTGTACACTCTTGGTGGGCATGTTGATTAGTACAGTCACTATGGAGAACAGTTTGGAGCTTCCTCAAAAAACTGGAAACTGAGCTAGCATGTGATCCAGCCATCCCACTTCTGGGTATGTCCCCAAAAGAAAGCAAATCAGTATATCGAAGGGATAGCTGCACTGTTTGTTGCACCACTGCTCACAATAGCTAAGATTTGGAAGCAATCTAAGCGTCCATCGACAGATGAATAGATCAATTAAATGTGGTACGTATACACAATTTTGTATTATTCAGCCATAAAAAAGAATGAGATCCAGTTATCTGAAGTAACATGGATAGAATTGGATATCATTACGCTAAGTCAAATAAGCCAGGCACAGAAAGACAAACACTGCATGTTCTCACTTATTTGTGGGGTCCAAAAATCAACACAATTGAAATAACGGGCATAGAGAGTAGGAGGATGGTTACCAGAGGCTAGGAAGGGTAGCGGGGATCTGGGGTGGGGGAGGTAGGGATGGTTAATGGATACAAAAAATAGGAAGAATAAATAAGATCTACTATTTGATAGCACAACAGGGTCACTATAGCCAATAATATTATGTTGGTGCTAAAGTAATTGTGCTTTTCCTGCTGAAAGTAACGGCAAAAACCACAATTACTATTGCATCACCCTTATATCTTAAATAACATTTTAAAATAACATGAAGAATGTAACTGGAGTGTTTGTAACTCAAAGGATAAATGTTTGAGGGGACAGATACCCAGTTCTCCATGATGTGTTTATTTCAGGTTGCATGACGGTATCAAAGCATCTCATATACTCCATAAATATATATACCTACTACATATCCACAAAAAAAATAAAAATGAAAAAAGAAATGCATTATGAAGCAACATGTAGAACGTAAAAGTGTAAAACTTTTAGAAGAAAAATTGGTAAAAACTCTTGTGAGTTTTTTTAGCAAAGTTATCTAAGATACCCAAAGCACAATCCCAAAGACCACATTATTAAATGGACTTCTATGATTATGAAGAACTTTTGCTATGCAAAAACAACTCTAAGTACAAAAAGACAAGTATGTGTATCCAAATATATAAAAAAATCAAAACCCAACAATTAGAAAACAAACAATCCATAAATATTGGACCAAAAATTTAAATAGACACTATACCTAAGAAAATATAAAGATGGCAAATAAGCACATGAAATTTGTATCATCATTGGTAAGTAGGAAAATAGTAATCAAAACTGTAATGTGATGTCATTATACACCTACTAGAATGGCCAGAACAATGTATGTGTCGTTGTTGTTTTTGAGATGAAGTCTCACTCTCTCGCCAGTGGAGATTGCAGTGATACGATCTCGGGTCACTGCAATCTCCACTTCCCAAGCTCAAGTGATTCTCTTACCTCAGCCCCCAAGTAGCTGGGATTACAGGCATGCACCATCATGCATGACTAATTTTTGTATTTTTAGTAGAAATGGGTTTCACCATGTTGGCCAGGCTGGCCTCTTAACTCCTGACCTCAGGTGATTGACCTGCCTTGGCCTCCCAAAGTGCTGGGATTACAGGTGTGAGCCACCGCACCCAGCAGGAACAATGTATTTTTATGTGTGATGATAGTAAGTACTGACAAGGATATGGAGCAATCAAAACTCATATTTCTTATGAAAACACAAAATGCTACTATACACTTTGATAAAGCCTTTCACAATAAATTATAGACTTAAAAGTGCATTTACATGAACAACTCATCCTACTCCTAGGTATTCAGACAAAGGAAATAGAAACTTATGTTCACACAAAGCCTGCAATAGTTATTTATAGCAAGGTTGTTCATAATCATCAACAACTGAAAACAACCTTGTGAATGGATATACAACGTATAGTACATTCGTACACTGAAATGCTGCTTGGTAATAAAAAGAAAGTAAAGATTGATGTATACAACTACATGTATAAATTTCCAATGCATCATTCTAAATAAAAAAATGCTAGATTCATACTTCATAATTTTATTCATATGGCATTCTGGAAAAGGGGCAGCTACTTAGGACAAAAACAGATCGATTGTTGCCAGAGGTAAGGCTGGGTTCGGGAGACGACTATAAAGGGATAATAATAAAAAATTCCAGAGGGCAATGAAACTGCTCTGTATCTTTATTCTGGTGGTAATTATACAACCCTATGCATTTTTCATAATTCCTACAACTATTAATCAAAAAGTGGACATTTATCTGTATGCAACTTTGAAGCTAAATTTTACAAACATAAGGAAGATAGACATGGCCTCCCATCATTCTCATAAGGTTAGGGATACTAAATCATCCCCATTTAAAAACTGAAAAAAAAAAAAAAAAAACTGAGGCTTTCATTAGTGTCATAGTGAGGACATACCTGGCAGAGCAGGTGTCCACCTTTCCAGCTTCACATGGGTTTCAATTAATTAATTAATTGTGTTTACTTTTAGAATAAACATGTTTTGTTATAGAATTTATATTTTCTTCTGACCACAAATGTAAGACTCTTTGCTACAGAAAATTTAGAAAATCTAGGCAAATCGAAAAGAATTAGAAAACAATTGTGTGCCACCACCCAATATTGTATATGGAAAGAAGAGTGGCAGAAGAGTGAAATTGACCAGCATAATCAATGTATTATTCTTCACATTAGCTTGGGGACAGAAGGACCATTGTAGATTACAGGGCATATCTCAGGAACATAGTCCATGTGGTTGGCAATGCAGAACATATGGGCGGCAAAACAGGACACGTTCAGTCAGCAGAGCAGGAACCCCACCATCTCATGGAAACACCGGCTACGTTTACTTATTGCTCTATCAAGCAGATTTACTGAATTATGTGTAATTTCTGACAGAGTATATTAGACCAAAAGATTGTGACACAGATTGAAACTTAGAGTAAAATGTTCCCTTACTTTTAGTACGTTGTTCAGAAGCTTTATTTCACAGAGATAGCATAGGCAAAAGTGAAAGACAGGCTGTTCACTCTGCACTCTTGAAATGGCGTCCATTTCTTGCTTCTTGTATACGCTAATTGTACTCTAAGTCGGTGCAAATTGTACTCTAAGTCGGTGCAGGGTACAAATGTATTTGTTCAAAGAAAGAGAAGCAACATAGAACTAATAAATCATATGACATATACAGTGCTTTCTTTCCTGATCAGACACAATATTTTCAGTGCTGTGACTGGCTGGGTGGTATCTTCTTGCTTTGTTTTGTTTTTTCCCCAATAGTCCTGAGACAGTACTGGAATCTCAACTAATCCCAACCATTATTTGCTGCCAGCAGAGGGCAGTAGAAGGCTTCCACAGGACGACTTGAAAGAAGGCTTCTAAGAGCTACTAAGCATAAGAGGGTCAGATTAGCAAATAAAAACCCCATCAAGACCAGGGACACTGACATTTGAGGAGGTAAAAGGCACTGCGACAAGAATTATGTGACGTATGCAAGCACAAGCTAATAGTCACAGAGGGGTGGTTCAGTCGCATAAAGGACTTGATGTATTTATTCGTTCATTCTCCCACCGAGTTATGTATTTAGCACCATCCAACCTGACTACAGTTTCTTCATTTACTGAGGTTCTATAGTGCTGATAACAAGCTCATAAGATATATGAAGACTGCTTAGTGCTATTTGCAAAATATCACTGCAGGTTTTTCTTTTAACTCTAAAATCTCTCAAAATATAAGACAGGACTATTTGATCATCGCATTTTAGGAAAATAATTGCCACCACTATCATTAAACCAACTCCCTCTGTACAGGTGCACACCAGTTGTAAATAGTAGTCTAATTCCATGTATCTTAAATGTAAAAGAAGTGTTTTTCTTAGAATTAAAGAAATATACTAAGACTCACCTAAGTGTTAGGCATATATCCACAATATTAAATGAAGGTGAATCATTTATCACACAAGCATGTAAAAGTGGTGAGCCCACAGCCAGGACAGGAACAAACAATGCCTTCTGGCAAGTTTCACTGAGACTTGAAAGATGAATTATCATAAGGTAAGAGTTTAAAAGGTTGAGCTAGGACAGAAAACCCTGCTGAGAGACAAATAATTCTCAAAGAAACTGCACGTGCAAATCTTCTGACACAGGCAAAAGTGTGGAACACTCAAAAAACAGAATGCAATCCAATGTGGCTGAGCAGAGAAAGTGATGGGGAGGAATTTATGCAATGAGACCAGGGAACTAGATCCAGAAAGAAGCATATGGGGTCTTGTGGGCTTTGTTAAATATTTTGGAGTTTATTATAATGCCATTTGGAAACTATTAGATGGATTCAGCAGAAGGAAAGTAAACAACATAAAATTAGAGTAAAGCAGTGTGTTTTCAAACAAAGAGCAAAGACTTGGGGACCACCATAATTGGGTGTGAAACTTGGCTCTACCACTTACAGACTTTATGGCCTTGGCCAAATAACTATATTTTTTCATGTCTAACACCTAACAAAATAAGTAGCAAGCAGAAGTCAGAATTCACACCCAGGTGTGTGCGTGTGTGTGTGTGTTTGCGTGTGTATACAGAGTCATAAAAACTATGTCATTATCTCTGATAGTAATTGTACTGTGAGTGGCATCATTTCAAGTGCAGACCTTAGCCATATAATTCTTTGATTGATTGATTTAGACAGAGTCTTACTCTGTCACCAGGGCTGGAGTGCAGTGGTGCGATCTCAGCTCACTGCAACCTCTGCCTCCCGGGTTCAAGTGACTCTCCTGCTTCAGCCTCCCGAGTAGCTGGGATTACAGGAGCTGCCACTACGCCCAGCTAAGTTTTTGTATTTTTAGTAGAGACGGGGTTTCACCATGTTGGCCAGGCTGGTCTCGAACTCCTGACCTCGTGATCTGCCCGCATTGGCCTCCCAAAGTGCTGGGATTACAGGCGTGAGCCACCACGCCCGGCCAGCCATATAATTCTTAAAGTGTCAGATGCCAGAGGCCAACTTTAGATTTTTGTCAACATCTCTCTTAGAGGAGTGGACAAGTAAAACATAACACAACTACAAATTAATAACAGCAGTGATCCTTTTTTGCTCAACCAAGACCTCAGCAATTGTGGTTGGAAAAAAGATCACGGTGGAATGACTGTTAGCAAACTACACTTGGGATCTGAGAGTATAAATCTGCATGGCACAGAGTAGGAGGCCTTGAGTAGGTTTCTATCTCTGGAACAGAACTATATAGTAAAACTCTCTACATCAATGTTAGCATACCTGTTTCAAAATCAAGACAACAGGCAAATTCAAGGAGTGTGGAAAGTATTGAGATGACTAAACAAGGATGGAAGTAAAACTGAGAACAGACACATTACAAAGCCAATCTTATATACAGGTTTTAATAAGACTAGAGCTTTGGTGGCCAGGCGCAGTGGCTCACACCTGTAATCACAGCACTTTGGGAGGCCAAGGCAGGTGGATCACAAGGTCAGGAGATTGACACCATCCTAGTTAACATGGTTAAACCCCGTCTCTACTAAAAACACAAAAAATTAGCCGGGCGTGGTCGCGGGCGCCTGTAGTCCCCACTACTCGGGAGGCTGAGGCAGGAGAATGGCGTGAACCCGGGAGGTGGAGCTTGCAGTGAGCCGAGATCGCGCCGCTGCACTCCAGCCTGGGCGACAGAGCAAGACTCTGTCTAAAAACAAACAAAAAAAAAACAAAACTAGAGCTTTGGAACATGTATACAAGGTCACATTTATTACCCTTTTTTCACAGACAGCTGAATACTACTACCAATATAACAAAATCCACTAATTCTAGAAATTTACCCACACACACGCTTTAACAAATGCTTTAGTTAATTTATTTGCATAACTTCAAATACATTATCGCTGAGTTTTTCTGCCATGATTATATTATTATATGGTATCAAAAAAGCTAATGAAGTGGTAGCACCGACTCAAACTATTACATTTACAGCATTAAAAAGATAATTTCTCTAATTGAGGTAAATAGCAAAGTAGTTTTAGATTGCTTATCATAAAAACAATGATCAAAATGAAAAGAAAAAGTTATTCCAATCAATTTTAAGCCAAAACTATTGTGTGTGTGTGTGTGTGTGTGTGTGTGTGTAGTAATAATGGTAGTTGTAGCTGCTGTCATAGCAGTAGAGATTGCTGTTGTAGTAGCAGCAATAGAGTTGCATCCTTAACAAGGGTTAAATCAGAGATAGGGTTTGGAGACAGAGGGTAGAGTTACAATTGTACATGGTCAAATTTAATTGCCCTGGACTGGAAATTAATACACCAATTCCCAATTCAATAAAACAATTTTTTTTCAACAGCACAGACTCAGAAGATATTTAATTTAATATCTATTTGGAAGCAAATGTCACTGCTTATACTCAAATACTTGTCCAAACTTAAGAGAACAATGCCTATTTCCTAATATACAACCCACCCTTTGTCACCTGAAATGTTTTACTGAACTGTCTGAACCTTGGTGTAAAGTGGGAGTTGCTAAAAAAAATAGATTAGAGAACTTTATAAGCAGATATAATAATAGGTTATAGAACTGTATAAGTGTTATCTATTAGGTTCTTAACTATGAGCTGACTGCAAAGTTATCCAACAAGTAGACTGTAACCTCTAGAAAGAGAGAAAAGGTCTGACTGATTTTCTATATCCTCATGGGACATAAATGTACGTGTGTGTGTGTGTGGGTGCGTGAATATACTTAAAATCATATAACAAGACTTAACTTTTTATCATGGAACAATAAAAGCAATTAATCTTCCATGTACCACAAAATCTTAATCAATGCTTAAAAAGTGTCTCACAGACCACATTATGTGACTTTACAGTTAAACAAGGTAATAATTAATACAAACTAGAAGAGCAATAAAACAAACAAAAAGTAAACGTATTCAACTATATATTTGTCCCAAGCCTGCAAAACACATATTGGACCCAAAAGTACATCAAACTTTAACTAAAAACAAACAATTTATCTGTTAACAACAATAACAATTTCACAAGACCTAAAATATTCAAAGCTGTACTCAAAGAAAAAAATTATACTATTGAGAAAATTTTATTTGTGAAAGCATACTTTTATTATTAAGCTAGACACTAAAAGAACTAAGAAATTAAAATAAGTAATATATGATAGTAAACAATATTATAAATAAAGCAGGGATCAACAAAGATGAAAGTTGGAAGTAATCTGCTATAACAAACTCAAAAAATAAATAACCACTAGAATTTAGAAGTAAAACCAAAGACCGGCTTTTTGAACAGAATAATAATCAACTGATTGTAAAGAAGAAATGAGAATAATTAATATATTTTAAGGAAATCAAGAAATATATTGAAGTAGTAGTATCATTTCAACAGTGATTACTCTGAGGAAATAGTGAATGTTTTTAAGTTTACCGATGCATTGGAAGTTGGAAATGAAATTGTTTAAAGCCTTTTTATTGTCTTAAGTGCTGAGTTTTCAAATAAGAACAATAAATATATTCTCCCTTTGAAAATTGTCAATCTGCTAATTTCATATGGACTAATTTAAAAAAATTGTAAGTAATAATTGAAAAGTGGCATAAAAAGTAATTCTTTACTATGAATTGAAAAATCAAGTGATTTAAAACACGTTATTTTAAATTTTAATTTGTCCTGTATGTGTTATGCATTTGTTGCTAGTGATGATCATGTTTGTGAGGAAGACAAAAATAATAATTTCAAACACTTTCTAGACACCGATATAATCTAAACTTAAATGTTTATAAATTATATCTATGTTTTATATCATCTGAATTATACTTAGTTAATTATATACCAATTTATAATAATTTACTTTATTGGATAAATACAAGTTTTGATTTATTTTGGGTGAATACATTTAAAAATATTTATATTATATATTGTTTTCACCCATAAATGTCAATTGATGTAAATATCGATTCTCATGAATATATCATAAAGATTTTTTTAAGATGCAATGCAATGTTTATGATTAATTTAAAACATTTCTCATTGTAGCCTAAAGTAACTTGAATGATTTGGCTCTTTTCTCTCCAACTGCTTTTTTTTTTTTTTGAGACCAAGTCTCACTCTGTCATCCAGGCTGGAGTGCAGTGGTGTGATCTTGGCTCACTGCAACCTCTGCCTCCTGGGTTAAAGGGATTCTTGTGCCTTGGCCTCCCAAGTAACTGGAATTATAGGTGTGCACCATTGTGCCCACCTAAATTTTGTATTTTTAGTGCAGACAGGGTTTCACCAGATTGCTGAGGCTGGTCTTGAACTCCTGGGCTCAAGCAATCCACCTGCCTCAGCCTTCAAAAGTGCTAGAATTACAGGCATGAGCCACCACAACTGCCCTCTAATTGCATTTTGTATTTTCTTGACATTATTCTGTCTTTTCTAATCTTTCAGTAACTCTAATGTTTGGTATAATTTTTCATGTCTAGCCATACTGCATATTTTTTGGCTTGAAATTATCTCCTGGCACATCGTTGTGGAGTCCAATTTCAATCTTTCCTTACAAGAGAAGACCCAAACCAACAGATTTTACTTGACCTAGAGATATACTCTATTGCCTTGTAGTTTGGTTTAGTTTGAATTAACTACCAACATGTAATTTACAGTATATCATGTACACATTAATATGTCAAATTTGTCTTGAAAAATTCAAATACCTGGCAAAATAGGGCCCTAATACTCATGACATTTTAAAAATCCAAAGCTGATGAGAGTCTCTGTTATGTTTTAGATCTTAATTTCCAGCACTCTAAGTTGCCTTAAGCATCACTGCGTCATCCATTCATTTACATGATCCATCTGACCTTTGTAAGAATCTGAGTCTAGAAGAATCCATCATCAGAGGAGGAGCCAAGATGGCCGAATAGGAACAGCTCTGGTCTACAGCTCCCAGCATGAGTGATGCAGAAGACAGGTGATTTCTGCATTTCCATCTGAGGTACCGGGTTCATCTCACTAGGGAGTGCCAGAGAGTGGGCGCAGGTCAGTGGGTGCGCGCACCGTGCACGAGCTGAAGCAGGGCGAGGCATTGCCTCACTCGGGAAGCACAAGGGGTCAGGGAGTTCCCTTTCCTAGTCAAAGAAAGGGGTGACAGACGGCACCTGGAAAATAGGGTCACTCCCACCCGAATACTGCGCTTTTCTGACAGGCTCAAAAAACGGTGCACCAGGAGATTATATCCCGCACATGGCATCCGAGGGTCCTATGCCCATGGAGTCTCACTGATTGCTAGCACAGCAGTCTGAGATCAAACTGCAAGGCGGCAGCGAGGCTGGGGGAGGGGCGCCCGCCATTGCCCAGGCTTGCTTAGGTAAACAAAGCAGCCAGGAAGCTGGAACTGGGTGGAGCCCACCACAGCTCAAGGAGGCCTGCCTGCCTCTGTAGGCTCCACCTCTGGGGGCAGGCACAGACAAACAAAAAGACAGCAGTAACCTCTGCAGACTTAAATGTCCCTGTCTGACAGCTTTGAAGAGAGCAGTGGTTCTCCCAGCATGCAGCTGGAGATCTGAGAACAGGCAGACTGCCTCCTAAGCGGGTCCCTGACCCCTGACCCCCGAGCAGCCTAACTGGGAGGCACCCCCCAGCAGGGGCAGACTGACACCTCACATGGCCGGGTACTCCAGCAGACCTGCAGCTGAGGGTCCTGTCTGTTAGAAGGAAAACTAACAAACACAAAGGACATCCACACCAAAAACCCATCTGTACATCACCATCATCAAAGACCAAAAGTAGATAAAACCACAAAGATGGGGAAAAAACAGAGCAGAAAAACTGGAAACTCTAAAAAACAGAGCGCCTCTCCTCCTCCAAAGGAATGCAGTTCCTCACCAGCAACGGAACAAAGCTGGATGGAGAATGACTTTGACAAGCTGAGAGAAGAAGGCTTCAGACGATCAAATTACTCTGAGCTACGGGAGGACATTCAAACCAAAGGCAAAGAAGTTGAAAACTTTGAAAAAAGTTTAGAAGAATGTATAACTAGAATAACCAATACAGAGAAGTGCTTAAAGGAGCTAATGGAGCTGAAAACCAAGGCTCAAGAACTACGTAAAGAACGCAGAAGCCTCAGGTGCCGATGCAATCAACTGGAAGAAAGGTTATCAGTGATGGAAGATGAAGTGAATGAAATGAAGCGAGAAGGGAAGTTTAGAGAAAAAAAGAATAAAAAGAAATGAGCAAAGCCTCCAAGAAATATGGGACTATGTGAAAAGACCAAATCTACGTCTGATTGGTGTACCTGAAAGTGACGGGGAGAATGGAACCAAGTTAGAAGACACTCTGCAAGATATTATCCAGGAGAACTTCCCCAATCTAGCAAGGCAGGCCAACATTCAGATTCAGGAAATACAGAGAATGCCACAAAGATACTCCTCGAGAAGAGCAACTCCAAGACACATAATTGTCAGATTCACCAAAGTTGAAATGAAGGAAAAAATGTTAAGGGCAGCCAGAGAGAAAGGTCGGGTTACCCACAAAGGGAAGCCCATCAGATTAACAGCGGATCTCTCGGCAGAAACCCTACAAGCCAGAAGAGAGTGGGGGCCAATATTCAACATTCTTAAAGAAAAGAATTTTCAACCCAGAATTTCATATCCAGCCAAACTAAGCTTCATAAGTGAAGGAGAAATAAAATACTTTACAGACAAGCAAATGCTGAGAGATTTTGTCACCACCAGGCCTGCCCTAAAAGAGCTCCTGAAGGAAGCTCTAAACATGGAAAGGAACAACCGGTACCAGCCGCTGCAAAATCATGCCAAAATGTAAAGACCGTTGAGACTAGGAAGAAACTGCATGAACTAACAAGCAAAATAACCAGCTAACATCATAATGACAGGATCAAGTTCACACATAACAATATTAACTTTAAATGTAAATGGACTAAATTCTCCAATTAAAAGACACAGACTGGCAAATTGGATAAAGAGTCAAGACCCATCAGTGTGCTGTATTCAGGAAACCCATCTCACGTGCAGAGACACACATAGGCTCAAAATAAAAGGATGGAGGAAGATCTACCAAGCAAATGGAAAACAAAAAAAGGCAGGGGTTGCAATCCTAGTCTCTGATAAAACAGACTTTAAACCAACAAAGATCAAAAGAGACAAAGAAGGCCATTACAAAATGGTAAAGGGATCAATTCAACAAGAAGAGCTAACTATCCTAAATATATATGCATCCAATACAGGAGCACCCACATTCATAAAGCAAGTCCTGAGTGACCTACAAAGAGACTTAGACTCCCACACATTAATAATGGGAGACTTTAACACCCCACTGTCAACATTAGACAGATCAACGAGACAGAAAGTCAACAAGGATACCCAGGAATTGAACTCAGCTCTGCACCAAGCAGACCTAATAGACATCTACAGAACTCTCCACCCCAAATCAACAGAATATACATTTTTTTCAGCACCACACCACACCTATTCCAAAATTGACCACATACTTGGAAGTAAAGCTCTCCTCAGCAAATGTAAAAGAACAGAAATTATAACAAACTATCTCTCAGACCACAGTGCAATCAAACTAGAACTCAGGATTAAGAATCTCACTCAAAACCACTCAACTACATGGAAACTGAACAACCTGCTCCTGAATGACTACTGGGTACATAACGAAATGAAGGCAGAAATAAAGATGTTCTTTGAAACCAACGAGAACAAAGACACAACATACCAGAATCTCTGGGACACATTCAAAGGAGTGTGTAGAGGGAAATTTATACCACTAAATGCCCACAAGAGAAAGCAGGAAAGATCCAAAATTGACACACTAACATCACAATTAAAAGAACTAGAAAAGCAAGAGGAAACACATTCAAAAGCTAGCAGAAGGCAAGAAATAACTAAAATCACAGCAGAACTGAAGGAAATAGAGACACAAAAAACCCTTCAAAAAATTAATGAATCCAGGAGCTGGTTTTTTGAAAGGATCAACAAAATTGATAGACTGCTAGCAAGACTAATAAAGAAAAAAAGAAGAATCAAATAGACGCAATAAAAAATGATAAAGGGGATATCACCACCGATCCCACAGAAATACAAACTACCATCAGAGAATACTACAAACACCTCTATGCAAATAAACTAGAAAATCTGGAAGAAATGGATAAATTCCTCGACACATACACTCTCCCAAGACTAAACCAGGAAGAAGTTGAATCTCTGAATAGACCAATAACAGGAGCTGAAATTGTGGCAATAATCAATAGCTTACCAACCAAAAAGAGTCCAGGACCAGATGGATTCACAGCCGAATTCTACCAGAGGTACAAGGAGGAACTGGTACCATTCCTTCTGAAACTATTCCAATCAACAGAAAAAGAGGGAATCCTCCCTAACTCATTTAATGAGGCCAGCATCATCCTGATACCAAAGCCAGGCAGAGACACAACCAAAAAAGAGAAGTTTAGACCAATATCCCTGATGAATACCGATGCAAAAATCCTCAATAAAATACTGGCAAACCGAATCCAGCAGCACATCAAAAAGCTTATCCACCATGATCAAGTGGGCTTCATCCCTGGGATGCAAGGCTGGTTCAACATATGCAAATCAATAAATGTAATCCAGCATATAAACAGAACCAAAGACAAAAACCACATGATTATCAATAGATGCAGAAAAGGCCTTTGACAAAATTCAACAGCCCTTCATGCTAAAAACTCTCAATAAATTAGGTATTGATGGGACATATCTCAAAATAATAAGAGCTATCTGTGACAAACCCACAGCCAATATCATACTGAATGGGCAAAAACTGGAAGCATTCTCTTTGAAAACTGGCACAAGACAGGGATGCCTTCTCTCACCACTCCTATTCAACATAGTGTTGGAAGTTCTGGCCAGGGCAGTTAGGCAGGAGAAGGAAATAAAGGGTTTTCAATTAGGAAAAGAGGAAGTCAAATTGTCCCTGTTTGCAGATGACATGATTGTATATCTAGAAAACCCCATTGTCTCAGCCCAAAAATCTCCTTAAGCTGATAAGCAACTTCAGCAAAGTCTCAGGATACAAAATCAATGTACAAAAATCACAAGCATTCTTATGCACCAACAACAGACAAACAGAGAGCCAAATCATGAGTGAACTCCCATTCACAATTGCTTCAAAGAGAATAAAATACCTAGGAATCCAACTTACAAGGGATGTGAAGGACCTCTTCAAGGAGAACTACAAACCACTGCTCAAGGAAATAAAAGAGGATATAAACAAATAGAAGAACATTCCATGCTCATGGGTAGGAAGAATCAATATCGTGAAAATGGCCATACTGCCCAAGGTAATTTACAGATTCAATGCCATCCCCATCAAGCTACCAATCACTTTCTTCACAGAATTGGAAAAACCTACTTTAAAGTTCATATGGAACCAAAAAAGAGCCCACATTGCCAAGTCAATCCTAAGCCAAAAGAACAAAGCTGGAGGCATCACACTACCTGACTTCAAACTATACCACAAGGCTACAGTAACCAAAACAGCATGGTACTGGTACCAAAAAAAGAGATATAGATCAAAGGAACAGAACAGAGCCCTCAGAAATAACGCTGCATATCTACAACTACCTGATCTTTGACAAACCTGAGAAAAACAAGCAATGGTGAAAGGATTCCCTATTTAATAAATGGTGCTGAGAAAACTGGCTAGCCATATGTAGAAAGCTGAAACTGGATCCCTTCCTTACACCTTATACAAAAATCAATTCAAGATGGATTAAAGAATTAAACGTTAGACCTAAAACCATAAAAACTCTAGAAGAAAACCTAGGCATTACCATTCAGGACATAGGCATGGGCAAGGACTTCATGTCTAAAACACCAAAAGCAATGGTAACCAAAGCCAAAATTGACAAATGGGATCTCATTAAACTAAAGAGCTTCTGCACAGCAAAAGAAACTACCATCAGAGTGAACAGGCAACCTACACAATGGGAGAAAATTTTCACAACCTACTCATCTGACAAAGGGGTAATATCCAGAATCCACAATGAACTCAAACAAATTTACAAGAAAAAAACAAACAACCCCATGAAAAAGTGGGCGAAGGACATGAACAGACACTTCTCAAAAGAAGACATTTATGAAGCCAAAAAACACATGAAAAAATGCTCACCATCACTGGCCATCAGAGAAATGCATATCAAAACCGCAATGAGATACCATCTCACACCAGTTAGAATGGCAATCATTAAAAAGTCAGGAAACAACAGGTGCTGGGGAGGATGTGGAGAAACAGGAACACTTGTACACTGTTGGTGGGACTGTAAACTAGTTCAACCATTGTGGAAGTCAGTGTGGCGATTCCTCAGGGATCTAGAACTAGAAATACCATTTGACCCAGCCATCCCATTACTGGGTATATACCCAAAGGACTATAAATCATGCTGCTATAAAGACACATGCACACGTATGTTTATTGCGGCACTATTCACAATAGCAAAGACTTGGAACCAACCCAAATGTCCAACAATGATAGACTGGATTAAGAAAATGTGGCACATATACACCATGGAATACTATGCAGCCATAAAAAATGTTGAGTTCATGTCCTTTGTAGGGACATGGATGAAATTGGAAATCATCATTCTCAGTAAACTATCACAAGAACAAAAAACCAAACACTGCATATTCTCACTCATAGGTGGGAATTGAACAATGAGAACACATGGACACAGGAAGGGGAACATCACACTCTGGGGTCTGTTGTGGGGTGGGGGGAGGGATAGCATTGGGAGATATACCTAATGCTAGATGAGTTGGTGGGTGCAGCGCACCAGCATGGCACATGTATACATATGTAACTAACCTGCACATTGTGCACATGTACCCTAAAACTTAAAGTATAATAATAATAAATAAATAAATAAAGAATCTGAGTATATGATAATATAGATTTAAATTTCTAATATCATTTCCTCAGTAAAGCTTTGCTTGATCCTTGTGTTGCCTGTGGATCTTATGAGCATTTTCTCATGGGGTTATATGCTGTTAATTGTGTGATCATTCACAATAAAAACTGGAGTATTCTACCTGCTTCAGAATATTGGAAAAAAAACATTTAAGAGTACATGAAATCTTCATGTTTAGGATGTAAGAGAGACATTTCATATTACATCTTTGCAAATCCATACTCTGATTAAAAAGTATTCTGTACTGTGCATTACCAAGGGGGGAAATTATAAATAAGGCAGTTGTCTTAGTCCATTTTGTGCTGCTATAACAGAATACAAAAGACTGGGTAACTTACAATGAACAGAACATTGTTAGCTCAGTGTTCTGGAGACTGGGAAACCCAAGATCAATGAGCTAGCCTCTGGCGAGTACCTTCTTGCTGCATGACTTGGCAGAAGTCATCTCATGGCAGAAGGGCAAAGAGAGAGTGTGAGAGGGCAGGAGCAGGTAAACTCACTCCTGATATAAGGTATCCATTCCCACTGTAAAGATGTTAGTTCATTCATGAGGGTCAAGCCCTCATGACCTAAGCACATCTTAAAGGCCCCACCTCCCAATACCATCACAATGGCAACTGATTTTCAACATTGATCAACATTGATTTTGGAAAGGACAAACTTTCAAATCACAGCAATGGTCAACAGAACTTGGATAAGATGTGAGGAAAGAAAATCCCTGCATTATACTTTAGGAAAGCCTTAAAATGAATAGAAAAGGCATTTTCTCCTTGTTGTATGTACAATATTAGCAATTAAATACTTGTTATATTGTTATATGTTATTTTTTTAAATTTTATTATTATACTTTAAGTTTTAGGGTACATGTGCACAACGTGCAGGTTTGTTACATATGTATACATGTGCCATGTTGGTGTGCTGCACCCATTAACTGGTCATTTAGCATTAGGTATATCTCCTGATGCTATCCCTCCCCCCTCCCCCAAAGTTATATGTTATTTTCAAGATTAAATGTGGTATAGTACTGATAGTGAAACATGAATTGGATGACCTAGTTTACCTTTTTTTTTTTTTAGTATTTAAATAGAAACACATTGTAAAAGCACGAAACATATCAGCATAGGTAGATCTTGAAAGCATAAAGTTAGGAAACACTGAATGCTATATAACATATGGACATTAGATGGTAAGTAACATGTATATTTTTTTTCCTCCATATGTTTCTGTATGTAAAAATTACTTTTATTCTATATAACTGCAACTATAAGGTACTCTCACCACATACACACAGGAGAAAATCAACTATGTGAGAGAATGAGATAATTTGTTTGACTGAAGTAATCACTTCACTGTGTATATCTATATCAAAACATCATGTTGCACAATTTAAACTTATACACTAAAAAACCTAAAAAATGCAATCAATTTCCTTTCATAAGAGAAAGGAATTCTTTAAACGTACCTTGAAAGAAAAATTTTTTTAAATTTTCTTGAAACTAATTCTCTTTTTTCATAAAGAATAAATAAGCCAAATTTTAAAAAGTTCTATAATCTAAACATATACTGAAGAATAATGCTGAAAAAGAATAACTTCCTGATTCAAGCAAAAACCATTGTATTTAAATCATCTCAATATTCCCTGCAAAAATAAATATAAAATAAATATAAATAGATTGTCAAAATAAAATTATATATTGTTTAGAATAACATTTCTAGTTTAACATTTCATTTTTTAATTTAGTAGGTGAAATAGTATGGAGAAATATGTTGGAAGAGGCAAGTAACTTTTGGATTTTTAGAGCCAAGTAGTGGAGAAAATAGCATTAAGAAAATATTATATGGGGTAGAGTTGGGGAGTGAGGTGAGGGCTGAGAAACTACATATTGGGTACTGTGTACACTGCTCAGGTGATGGGTACACTAAAATTTCAGACTTCACCACTGTTCAATTCATCCATGTCACTAAAAACTGCTTTTCCTAATAAAGCTACTGAAATTAAAATCAAAGATAATGTTATAAAGATGGTAATCAAGGAATACCTGAATACCCAGCCATATGGTGGCCCCTCTGCCAAACTCTGAAGTTTACAGAGAGATGACAATATATTAAATGTAAATGACACTTGATTTTTACATCATCTACACAGTTCTTAGAAATATGTGGAAGGCATTTATATAAAAGTATCAACTTTCTTTATTTTCCATCTTTCTTATTTCATAAATTCATTGAATGCCGAGGCCAGCTAGGTCGGGGAGACCCTAACCCAGTGGCGCCAGAGGAATTAAAGACACACACACAGAAATATAGAGGTGTGAAGTGGGAAATCAGGGGTCTCACAGCCTTCAGAGCTAAGAGCGCCAAACAGAGATTTACCCACGTATTTATTAACAGCAAGCCAGTCATTAGCATTGTTTCTATAGATATTCAATTAACTAAAAGTATCCCTTATGGGAAACGAAGGGATGGGCTGAAATAAAGGGGTGGGTCTGGCTACTTATCTGCAGCAGGAACATGCTTTTAAGGCACAGATCTCTTATGCTATTGTTTATGGTTTAAGGACGCCTTTAAGCGGTTTTCCGCCCTAGGCAGTCTGGGTGTTCCTTGCCCTCATTCCAGTAAACCCACAAGCTTCCAGCCTGGGTGTTATGGCCATCATGAACATGTCACAGTGCTGCAGAGATTTTGTTTATGGCCAGTTTTGGGGCCAGTTTAGCCAGATTTTGGGGTGCCTGTTCCTAACAACTGAAGCTATCAAACCTACTAGAGTTTATAAATACATTTAAAATACAGTTTAATTTTTATGTAGCTTCTCTGTTTTCAACATTTTTAAATGAATTAATACGTGATCATGGTAATACAACAACACAATGTAACAACATGCTTGATAGAAACTCTATAAACAATTAGTTTTGTTCTTGTTGTTTTTAACATTTTCAGTTTAAACAGTATTCGCACATCATAGTTCTTCTGAAACATTCCTTTCATTAACCCTTATTTTCTTCACTCATAATTGCTTTCTCTCCATGAACTGTTCCTGCTTATTGCTCTTAATCTTCACTAAGCAATGAGTTTATTGTGCCACGTGGCATACCTTCTTCTGTATGGATCTGTTTTGTTTGCTGACTCAGAAAATATAGTTGATTTACTAAGGAAAAAAATCAATTTCTCTATCATCTTCACTCTCATCTTACCTTGTTAATGCCTCCATTGCAGGGATTTTCATAGTGTCTGTTATATCGTACTTATCTGTGTATGCATTACCTTCATTCGAGTGGATTGTAAAATTTATGAGAACTATGTTCACAAAAATTGGAGGTGTTTTCACCCAAACTTCTCAATTTGTAAATTTGATTTTGCCGAATGTGTATGGGATTATCTGAAAAATATTGATTTGTGTCTATATTTCCTGACTGCGTTGTGATGCCAATGAATACTTTCATAATGGTAATATTATTTTAACTCTTACGTGAACTTAACTGAGTTTCTCGAACACTGGAAATAAAATTAATAAAGCCAGAAATTTCACCTCAATTTATGTGACATAGGAAGGCTTTGTCATGTACTTAGATTTAAGGAAGACTTCTGAATGATGATGCTACCAGATAAAACACTGAAGTGGTCCTTAAATTGCAATAATAACCTTTGTAAAAAAAGAGCAATGAACAACAACAAGCACAAGAAAGAACTTTGTAAAATGGGAAGTGCAAAACCACTTATAGAGGCTATTGTCACACTTTGTTTATTCCATTCAGAAACTCATCTATTATAATGTTTGCAAATGTGGAATAGTCATATGTTTTCAATGAATGTTTCAATTCCACTGGCAATTTCTGGCTCTAAAATATGTTTTGATGGTTTTTGTTGTAGTACCTGAAACTCCCACATTACACTGTTCATTAGATGCAGATTTTGAAGATCTATGAAAAAAATTAAAAAAATAAAAAGGAAGAAAAATGGAAGGAAAAAGAAAAAGATGCTAAAATTGTGTTAACGCAGAAAACCTTTAATGTTGGCAGTGGTAGTGTAAGAAACGAAGAATTGTGAGAAAATGCAAAATATAAATTTAAAGGAGACAGAGAAAGAATCTATTAGTTCGCTAGTTGAAAAAAATCCTGAAATATACCGAGCAAATGTTGCAGCAGACAGGACACATAAATGTGGGAAACATAAGAAAGAGCCTTGAGGAAAGAGAGCAGCCTGATGATCCCAGGCTACGAACATGGAGGAAGACGCCGGGTAAGGTATCTGGTTTTTAAGGATGAGAAGAAAATTATAGGCTTACTAAAAAACACTTTATCCCTGTAACCCTACCTAAGACTTGTCTGATCTTCTGGTTAAGTTTAATTAGGTAACAAAGTAAATATTGGAAACAGAAGTAAAATCATAATGGCATTTATATCCACCATCAATTCTTAAAAATAATTTAAAGTAAATGTTTAAGTTTTGTGGTAAAAATAAATGATTGCATATTCTGCTGATAACAATTTGATAAGTAATCACTGATCTTAATCAGAGAAAATAGCTAAGAGTTTTAATAATTAATCTAGGCCTTAAATATACTAAAATTTATAAGCAAACCTCTTCTTATAAATGACTGCCCGGCTAACTATCTCCATAGGAATGAGATGTGAACAAAATGTAATTATTTTGTAAAGTTTTGTCTTACCTATTGTTTTTGGTAATTATATATTTTTAGGCGATAATGTGTGGCTTTTTTTCACTTGGTATGTGAATTAAAGTGAATTGGCATAGTTGATAGATTACCAAACAAATTCAATTCCATAGACTTTTCTGAGTCCAATTGGAACAGACATGTTAATGATTTCTTGTTAAACAAATATCACTCTCTTTGCTATGACATTTTATTCATTCTCTAATTAGGCAATACATTTAGCAACAGAGAGGAACAATTGTTCCTTTATTAATTCAAATGAGTTTCATGCTCAAAGAGATCTAAAATCTTGTGTGAGTACACCCCTCTTTTTAGGGCATGTAATAGAACCAATTACTCTTTGGGAAATTTAGGTTATATTTAGGCTATGCAAGAACCCTTTCACTATCTTTTATAATCTCATAAAAATTAAAATATGTTTTAATATATAAGTAAATTGTTGTGTTTTATTTGAAGTAATTGAAATATTTTCTGCCATCAAGAAAACATTTGAAAGTTATTAATCATTAGATGCTTGTTAGGATGCATTTTAAATTAAAATTGTGCTTATACATATATATGATATTTATATTTATATAAGATACTCAGTTTCTGTGATTATGTGTGGTGAAACTTACGAAGTGTAATGTGTGCACATGTAGTATAAACAGTAATGACTGAAATGGATATTTGAATCAAACATCTGTGGCTTATTGAAACCACTTTCCAACACATTCCTTTTAGCACTAGAAAGAGTGAGGGAACTATCAAATTGCCCACATCCACCCAAAATAATAGTATACAATGTTGTTTTTAAGATTTCATCTTTCAAATGTTATTTGAACAGCGATACGTGACACAGTGTATGGTACTTCTAAAATATCCAGAGTGGGGAGAAGATATATCAAACATACAAAATGTACTACCTGAGGACTGAGTGACAGTTACCTTCTTACAATTTCAGACTGGTTTCCCCTAACCATAAAATTTATAAACGTTAAAAAGTGCGTTGATGACTAATGAGTGATTCACAGCTCAAATGAATAGACAGTGAATAAGGGAAGACTGGTAAAGCTACTTTGCATCCCAGAAAGCACTGTCCCTACAAATAATAGGAAGTGAACCAGAGAAAGGAAGAGGCTTAGCAGCAAGACATAAATGAAACATGGTCTTTGTTATGGTTGCCACCTATTCTCATTGTCTAAGAGCTAGGTCATGAGAGGAAGAGAATACACATTGGATGAGTTAAGCATCGGGACACCTGCATCTGTGTGTGAGACAGGGAAGCCATCAATACCAAACTCTCAGAGAGAAATTTCAAGAACAAGCTGAAAGAGGGCACATTTTTCCTCACTCACTTTGGATCTAAAAAAATTCTCTTTGCTTAAAAGTACAAAGACATCAAAATAAACAGGAGATTTTTCAGAGGACACTGTTAAACAAATGAAAGGGACAATTTTTTAAAAATTCAGGACAAAGAGAACGTAGAGAGAATGTAAGTTGCAATGACTTACTCCAAGGTGTAGTCATACAAAGGCTACAAAAAAAAAGTAAAATAAAATATAATAAAGCAATTAATTGACAGAAAGCAGATCAGCAGTTTCTTGGGAGATGCAAGTGTAAGAGGAAGAAATTACGACTGTAGGAGCTTGAGGAAACTTGTGAGGAAGATTCATGTATTTGATACCTTGATAGTGTTGATTGATCCACTCTAGTACACATCTTCCACATTGTGCACTTTACACGGGCAGATTATTGTATATCAATTATATTCCAATAAGGCTGGGGGAAAGTTAAAAACAAACAAATAGAGTAGCTATCCCTTGAACAGAGTGTCCAGAGAAGCGAATATAGAGACCATTCTGAAGGGTATGTGTGGTGGAAACAGTTTAGAAACGGATAAAAGGGAGAGATGGGGATTGATTTGGGTGTATCCAAGTCTAATGTTTATAGTGACTGATAAATACAAATTCATGATACCAACATTTCCACTCTCTCACTTCATGCTTCACTTTTACATTTGGGTCTTGGTCTTGGCAAACATTCATTCTTCTTCTCAAGGGGCACAAATGGGAAGAGAAAGATCCTAAACTCTATTTTGAGATAATGATCATCCAAGCTCCTGGTTTCACGGCCTTAGTGGAGATAGGTTGGATTGCTGAAATGTAGTGTGGTAAATAGAAAAATCAAAGACAGTTATTTCTACATTTAAGTCATTATATATCCACTTGCAATTGTTGAACGTGGGTAAATTGTTTATCCTTTTACCATCTTGTAAGTATGGTTCTGTGTTAGTCTGTCCAGGCTGCTATAACAAAGTATCATAAACTAGATAGCTTATAAACAAACATTTATTTCTGTTAGTTCTGGAGGCTGCAATGTCCAAGGTTAAGGTACTGACAGATTTGGTGTTCGACGAGGGCCTGTCACTCATAGACAGTGTCTTCTGGCTGCATGCTTGTGTGGTAAAAGGCGCATTTTTTATAAGGGCAGTATTTCCCTCATAAAATAATAGCTTCCGAAAGTCCTACATCTTAAGACAATCATCTTGGGGGTTAGGATTTTAACATAAGAATTTTGTGAGGACCCAAACATTCCAACAATAGCAATATCCTTCTACCTAGGAGAGCTTATTTGTGAAGATGGAATGCTGAGAGATGTAGAAATTTATGGAACAAATTGGCAATCAAATTGTTTGCTCTTTTCCCTTCTAGCATTTGTTTTGAAATAAAAATATCACAAATGGCAAGCCCTTATACAAAGGAAGGAATACATATTAAGATTATCCATTCTTCATATGAAATGAAAGTAGTTATTAATAAATGTTAGGGCAGGCTAACAACCATGATAGTTGAATATGATTACTAGGAAAGAAATTATAGAGACATAAAATTTCTCTAATGAAAAAATGTATTTGAATTGGGAATAAAAGCCAAATAACCATATCAATATACATGAATAATCTTTATAGCAGGGTTTATCCATACACAGTTTTGACGTGAGAGTAAAGTTTTCAGTACGTCATAAATTTAGTGCTTGAAGTTGATTAATTATAAAGATAAATTTTAAACTAAGTTAAAACTCTGGACTTAAAAACTATACAATTTTGACTTAAAAAGACAAAATAATGTTCATCATGAAGAAGTGTGGTGAGTTCAAGTCCAGAAGACCATGGGGATTCATTTCATGTAATGGATATTTTATAGACAGTTTTATTTTCTTTCAATTGCTTTATGGGAGATATTTCATTTTTCATTTCCCTTCCTGTCACTTAGACAGAAAGTCTTTAAATGAATATGTAATGATTTCTGATTAATATTTTAAAGCTCTAAATATTTTAACAATTCTGACAGAGCTATAAAATAACTTCTAATTATGTTAACATGGAAAGGAAAGGGAAAAGGTAATGGAGGAAAGAACATAATATTTAAAACATTGTAGGCCTATATATTCAAATTACAATAAGAAATCACTTAAACAATGTCATATGATACACTGAAAAATAACAATAACTGGTAGTATACTACAAAAGAATCATTGTGTGATAAATGTTCTTCTAATTAGACAGAAATATCCAAGTTTATTACTGGTATAGTAACAAGTGCTGATGTCATTTGTCCTGCACATCATTCAAGAAATGAAAATATTCTCTGTATATTTGTCATTGAATGAAATATCTATAAAATGAATATGAACTATCTCTCTGATTTCAACTATATAGAAGTTAATTAGCATTTACTAATAATTACTAAGCATTTCAACTAATAATTCATTCTAATTATTAATACTTATAAAATATTCATGGATATTTGAGCCATTAGAAAAATTGTAGGGACATATCAAGTAATATTTGTATTTCCAAGAATCAGTGTAACAAAGTGATTAAGATCATGGAATTTCAGACAAATTCCCATGTTCAAATTTACTTCTGTGAATTCTGACTTTAAAATAAGAGAGAAGGCACTAAAACTTCCTGTGCCCTGAAGATAAAAATGTGTACCTGATAGAAGTGTTGGGAAGATCATATTAATAAACACATAAAAGAAAACAATTAAGTCAATACCAAGCATAGATAAAGATTAACTCCTTTTTTAATAGTACAGCTATTACCCCTGGGTTTTGGGCCAAATGAGATAAACAGTACAGTAGATGGATTTGGAAAATAATAAGTGACTTATTAATTTTCTCAATGACTGAAGCAAACTGGAAGGTGAGACAAGATGGATTTAATTTTGATCCTCTATGTATAAAAGTTACTTGCACCTAGCACTGTGGTCACAAAATCTGTCTACGATTGCAAAATAGAAGCTAGTGATTTTATTACAAGATTCATGTAGGAATTTAGTTTGTAGAAAATGAAATAGTTAATACATGCCAGTTAGTAAATAATCATTGCTGTCATTCTTCCCCGGGAATGTTAAAAAGATTAGTGAGGAAACTTACATTAACTAAAAGAAATACTTTCATTAGTAGAATTCATACTTGATTTTTCAGTACTCATGTGTCAACAACATTATAAAGAAAACATGAATCAATGTTCATTTTAGTCTAGCATGATAATTTAAACTGCATTATATAAATGTTTTGGTCAGAGGAACAAATACAAAATGCAAATTATGAAGAGTTAAAATAGCTAACATATATTTTTCTCATTTTTTATTTAGCTTAATATATTTCCAGTGAATGACTGTATTGAAAAAAATTTCAAATTATCATTAGTATTTATTCATAAATATGAGAAATATTCTCTAGAAATAAATTTATTATTATATAGTTAGTTTTCATATTTGTTCCTGCTGTGCTTCTTTAAAAAAAAAAAAAACTAAACAAACAAAACAACTCAAAATAGGAAATAAAAATTCTTCCTAAGTGTTAAAACAAGTAAAAACAGAATTTTCATTACAGCTATAATATTCAGAATTAATTTTAACACTACTAAAACAGTGTATCTAGTTTGAAATACAATGAAAATGACATAACTAATTTAAAATATTCTTATATCAAAACTAAAAAAAGTAAAAGGAAACCAATCAAATAAATTTGGTAACATAGTATACTAAATAATATATCCAAAGGTTATGGCTTCTGCATGAACTTTATGTTAAAATTATTAATGAGATGTTTTACATTCATTTATTGATACTGCCTGTGAAATCTGATGTTTATTTTGCACTCAAGTCACATTTTAATTCAGAGGAGCCACATTTCAAATGCTCATTAACCACATTTGGCTACCAGATTGAAGCGTGTCGTACTAAAAGAACAGACAAGAATCAATGTTTACTAATGTAAAGTGTATTTTTTATTTCTTCATAAAATACACAGCCCCTATTTTTGCCAAGCTCTCATTCTTAGAATTCCTCCCAGCTACTCGCTCAGAGCCTCAAAGCTGCTCTCAACTCTTTCATCTAGGTAAATCATATCAGTCATGTTTTTTCAAGTCAGTCTTGCCAAGTATAGTGGTTTCTACTCATAGCTGAAAATATTCAAAGCAGAAATTAAAGGGACCTGAGTGATCGTCTTATTGGCTCCTCTTATTTTTAAAGGACAAGTTTAAGGACCACGTAGAGTACATGAAATATTCTACGTCATTGTGCAGTGAGTACTAGAAACAAAATAAAAACACAAACAGTATGAGTGCTGGTCTAGTGCCCTTATCAGTACATAAGCAAACTGCTATTCATCAATAACAATCCACTTGTCTGTTTTTCCTGATTGCCTCTAGTATAATCATTTCCTGTTCTTACTGAAACTTGAAACTGCCTTCAACAGTTCTTCTAAAACCTACCGCACTACTTAAAGCTGGCAGCCACTCAAAAGCAACCCTTCTCTAGAACTCTGTAAGATTCATTGTATTTGAAAACAGCATGTATAGTCAATATATGAATGATTTAAACTTGTATTGTTTTTATCTCATTTTAATGAGCAAATATTTATTGGAGTGTTAACTGTTACTACTAAGATACTGTGTGTGGTAGTTTGATGAATGTTCAAAGGAGTAAAACACAGTTTCAGCCTGCCAGGATATTGTAATCTACTAATAAAGAACCTATAGTAATATAATTGAAAAAAAGTAAAAATTTAGCACTTAGGTTATTAATATAGGTAAATACAAGATTGGAGAGAACTCAATGTAAATCATGTGAAATAGGGTTTTCAGATTTAAAAAATAAAAATACAGAATGTCAAATTAAATTTGATTTTTAGATAAAAAAAAATAAGACTTTTAGTATAAGAATGTGCCATGCAATAGCTGGGACATGCTCATATAAAGATTATTGTTTTTATACAACTCAAATTCAACTGGGCATTCTGTATATTATCTGGCAAATCTATGTAAAAAACACTTAGAGGGTTGAATTGACTACAATTTCTAATTATTTTATGGCTGCTAAAAAAACATTCAAAATTAATTCAGAGAAGGCTGCCCATTTGTCAGACTTGTGCCAGGTATTTCTCAGTTCTTAATGTGATGTGTTAAGAATTATCAATATAGCATTTAGGATGACACTAATTTGAAAATGACTTCACACAAATTATGTTGAAGGAATTATAGAGAGAATTTGGAAAAAGAATGACCATTATTTCAACATCTGAAGGGCTGTAAAGTTGAAAGGGAGTTTGTTTTATAACTTCCTATGTTTTACAAAAGAAAATCACAGAGATTTATAAGTAATTTTTATAGTTCTTGATAAAGGTGGATAACCATGACTTATTTCAAATCACTTCTTACTATTTTCTTCTTCAAGTTGATTAGTTTTTCTCTATTATTTTAAATATAATTCAGATTTATATAATAATAAATGACCTTTATCAAAATTATATGGATTATTTTCCATGTGATATAAGAATTTTGGAACAATTATTTTGCTGTGAAATTATTAGATGTTACATATTTGTTAAATTTTAATAAGTTTAATATATATTTCTAAGTAAACATTAAATTGATACAATAAAATTAATAAATTTCAAAGTCAACCTTAATTTCCCTCTGTATATACAAATTCAAGTTAATTTCATCTGAAAATAGAGCAAATTTTGTCATTGCGGATAGCTTTGTAACAAAAGTTAATGAAAATACTGTGAAAAATATATTGCAAGCAT